>NC_000003.12:170978301-171129816 GCF_000001405.40 Homo sapiens
AGAATTAAAAGAATGAGAGTAGGGACAGCACCAGTTGCTTATTTGATGAAACAGAAGAAGCCTGATTGAGATCATCTTGGTGCATTAGGAAAACAGCCTCAGGGCTCCCGCTGACAGGACACTTTTCCCAAGTACTATTAATTATAATGCGTTATTAGCTAACTGCAGGCAGTGGACATCCTTTGCACGTTAACTAAAGTGCAACAGCCGTTTAGCTAGTGGGGCCTACTTGGTCTTTAAAATTGTCTTAATCATTAGTGAATTCGTTAAACTATAACGTTAAGAGATAAAAATAATCGTCGCTGTTGCTTGGGAACAAGTCCAAACTGAAACTGGTTTTCAGAGGTTCTGAGTACAAATGTTCTTGACTGTGTAGATTGACGGGAGCTCTAGACCCAGCCAGCCTCACCCCGACATCTTCAGGGTTACACAATATCCTAAGATCATTGTTATGGGTTTGATTTTTACTTTGGAGCTGCAGTAGGATGTGAGGCAGGGAAGATGGTACCATGGGCTTCAGTTCTCAGTCATTCAGAAATTTACAGTGTAGTTGGCAAATTTTTGAAACTCATATTCCTTTCAGTGCTTTTTTTTTTGGGCCATTTCACTGACTATTAATGGCTCCACCTGGGGAGGCCTGGAAATGATGCTGAAACTCAATCAAGCCTCCTTGGCAGTTCTGGAAAGAGGTTTTGAGTGTCAGTGCAGAGGCTATGAAGAGAAGCTCAAATTGTGCTTTAGGATTATCTCTGGGTTTTGATGATTGGCATATTCTTCTTCTGCCACAAATTACTGAGACTTAACAGAACAAACAAGTTTAATTGGTTTGGTTTTGATTCATGTTTTGATGATTGACCACAAGCAGAAAACATGGGAAAAAACTTCTCGTCAAGTGACCTGAGAAGAGAAGTTCATTGCTTTTCATTTTATCCAAATGTTTTAAAATGTTTAAATTTAATTAAAAAATTTACATACATTAAAATTTACACTTTTTGGTATTTCATTTTATGAGTTTGGACAAATACATGGTTCAGCAAACCACCACCACAGTCAAGATAAGGAACAGTTCCATCACTCTCCCAAATTACTGCTGCTTTATATGTCAACCCCAATTCCTTGCATGTACTACTCAGTTATCTAGTCCTATACTTTTACACTTTGTAGCTGTCATATCAATGGAATCAGATTATGTAGCCTTTTGAGTCTGGCTTCCTTCACTTAGCCTAACACATTTGAGATTCATCCATGTTGTTACATGTATCAGCTGTTTATTCTGTTTTATTGAGAAGTATTCTATAATTTATCCATTCATCAGTTGAATGACATATGGGCATTTCTGTTTCTGATGTTTATGAAAAAAGCCATAAAAAAGTTTTTATGGGAACATAAATTTTCTTTTCTCTTGGGTAAATATCTAGGTGTGAGATTGCTGGGTCTTACGTTAAGCGTATATTTAACTTTATGACACTGCCAAACTGTTTTCCAAAATGGTTCTACCATTGTGCATTCCCACCAGCAGTGAATGAGGATTCCAGGTACTTTCTATCCTTAGTAGCACTTGGTATTGTCAGGTATCTTTCTCTTATTGATTTCTAATTTAATTTTTAATGGTTAGAAAATATAGTTTGTATGATTTCAATTCTTTTATATTTGTTAAGATATATTCTGTGGCCCAGAATATGATCTACTTTGGTGAATCTTTCATGTACACTTGAAAAGAATGCGTATTCTGCTGCTAAAGGGGAGAGTGTTTTTAAAATGTCGATTAGCTTAATTTGTTTGTTGGTCAGGTCTTGTACATCCTTACTGATTTTTTGTCTACTTGTTTTTATCAGTTACTGAGAAGGGGTGTCAAAGTCTTCAACTACAAGGTAGATTTGTCTATTTTTTTCCCCTTTCATTGCTATCAGTTTTTCTTCACATATTTTGAAACTCTTGTTAGGTACATGCATATTTAGGATTGTTATATCTTCTTGGTGAATTGACCTTTTATTATATAAGATCTCTCTTTATCTTCCATTGTATTTGTTGTTTTGAAGTTTACTTTATCTGGTATTAATATAGCTACTCCAGCTTTCTTCTTTTTTTTTCATTCTTCTATTTTGAATCCACCTATATGTTTATATTTACAGTGGATATCTTGTAGGTAGAATATAGTTAGTTGAGTCTTACTGTAATGCCCAATTGTACAATCTCTGTTAATTGTTTAGACCATTTATACTTATCATTATTGCTATAGTTGGATTTATGTCTACCATTTTATTGATTTTTTTAAGTATTCCATTTTATTTTATGTATTGGCTTTTTGTCATATCTCTTTGTATTATTTGTATTATTTTTCTAGTGGTGGCTGTAAGAATTACAACATATATAGCTAACCATTCACAGTCTACTTAAAGTTAATATTATTACTCACTTAAGTAAAATGTAGAAGCCTTAAAACCATACAGGTTACTTTGTCTCTCTGCCCTTATGTCATAGTGGTCATATGTATTATATCTATATGCACTGAAAATCTTACTAGATAATATTATAATTTTTGCTTTCAACAGTAAAACATATATGTGTTTTAAAGAACTTAAGATGAAAATAGTTTTTAAAAGTATTTTATCCAGATGTTGCTATTTGTTTTACTTTTCCTTCATTCCTGAATTTCCCAGTTTTTTTTTTTTAATATTTCCTTTAAGCCTTTAGAACAGGTCTGCAGGCAACAAAAATCTCCTGGCTTTTCTTCATCCGAAAATATCTTTTCTTACTCTTCATTACAGAAATATATGTTTGCTACATATACCAATTTATGCTTCCATCAGTGTATGAGGGTCCTGTTTTCTTAGCATTTTTGCCAACCTCAGTAATACAGGTTGAATATTCCTTATCTGAAATGCTTGAGACCAGAGTGTTTCAGATTTGATATTATTTCAGGTTTTGGATTATTTGCATTATACCTACGAGTTGAGTATGTCTAATCTGAAAATCCAGATTGCTCCAATGAGCATTTCTTTTGAGCCTCATGTTCATGATCAAAAAGTTTTGGACTTTGGAGCATTTCAGATTTTGGATTTTCAGATTAGGGATACCCAACCTTACCATTTTTAACTTTGCCAATTTGATGGGGAAAATAATGGTATCTCATTCTTTAGGCATTAAGAATATCTGCCCTGGAGGTTGCAGCGAGCCAAGATTGTGCCAGCCTGGGCAATAGAGTGAGAATCTGTCCCCTGCCCCGCCCCCCCAAAAAAAGAATATCTTCCTTTTGTTATACATGGTGAATTTTTTTTCACTTTGTTATTTATTTTTATTTTTACAAAACATATACAAATATTTAATTTGTAGGTAGGAAAAACTGTCATTTTTTTCCTCTTATAGTTGTTTTCTTTTTTGCTTTTATTTAGAAAGATATTTTGCACCCCAAGATCAGATAAATATCCACATTTTCTTTTGGTTCTTAAAAAAATAAATTTGGCATTTTTCTCCATGTGCCACTAATTGTTTTGGTTAGCATAAGGTAGGCATTTAAGTTTATTTTCCTAACTAGTAAATACATGTTCAGCAACATTAACTTATATATACTTCTTCCTTGTTTGCAATACCTACATTATCAAGTATTAATTATTTTTATTATTTATTTTAGAGCCAGGGTCATCTTATGCTGCCCAGGCTGGACTTGAACTCTTGGGCTCAAGTGATACCTCTACCTCAGCCTCCTGAATCCCTAGCTGGGACTACAGGCTTGTGCTACCACACTTGGTTAAGTATTAATTACTTTTATGAGGTTGTGCCTGTTTCTGAGTTTTTAATATTGTGCCTGTGTATTTATATTTTACCATGCCACAGTTTTATAATGAAAACTTTTTAGTATTACCAGATTCAGCAAATGAAAAAACAGAACACCCAATTACATTTGAATTTCATATATACACAATTTTTTTTTTAGTATATGTTCCAGATATTGCATACAGTTCTGAAATTTGGCCAGGCACAGTGGCTCACACCTGTAATCCCAACACTTTGGGAGGCCGAGGTGGGAGGATCACTTGAGCTCAGGAGTTCAAGACCAGCCTGGGCAACATGGTGAAACCCATGTCAACCAAAAATACAAAAAATTAGTCAGGCTTGGTAGTGGCATGCATCTGTGGTCCCAGCTACTTGGGAGGCTGAGTTGGGAGGGTCACTCGAGCCCAGGAGGCAAAGGTTGCAGTGAGCTGAGATTGTACCACTGCACTCCAGACTGGATGACAGAGTGAGACCCTGTCTCAAAAGAAAAAAAAGATTCTGAAATTTCATTTATTTTTATTTTATATATTTTATTTTTAATTGACAAGTAATAATTGTATATATTTATGAAGTACAATATGATGCTTTGATACATGTATAAATTATAGAATGATCAAATCAGGCTAATTAACATATTCACCTCAAGTACCTATCATTTCTCTGTGATTAGTACATCCAAAATTCACTGTTTTAGCTATTTTGAAATATTACAATACATTAAATACATTATTAATTATAGTTATTATGTGCAATAGGTCACCAAAACTGACTCCTCCTGTGTAACTGAAACTTTGTATTCTTGGATCAATGATTTACCTGCACCCACCCACAGGCTCTGGTGACCACTATTCTACTCTCTGCTTCTATGAGTTTGACTATTTTCGGTTCCACATGTAAGTGAGATCATGCAGAATGTTGTCTTTTTGTACCTGGCTTACTTCGGTTAGCATAATATCTTCCAGGTTCATCCATGTTGTCACAAATGATGGAATTTCATGCTTTCTAAAAACTGAATAGTATTCTATTTTGTGTATACACTACATTTTAAACATTCATCTGTTGATGGGCATCATGGTTTTTTCAAGCCTTGGCTATTGTGAGTAATGCTGTGATGAACATGGGGGTGCAAACATCTCTTTGACACACTGATTTCAATTTCCTTGGTTATAAACACAAGAAGTGAGATTGCTGGATCATATGGTAATTCTAGTTTTTGATTTTAAAGGAACCTCCATGTTGTTTTCCAAAATGGTTATATTAATTTACTTTCCCAACAGCAGTGTACAAGCATTTCTTTTTCTCCACATCCTCACTAACTCTTCTTATCTGTCCTCTTTTTGATAATAGATAATAGCCAGTCTAACAGGTATGGGGTGATATCTTATTGTTATTTTAATTTGCAATTCTTTGACGATTAGAGATACTGAGCATTTTTCATATATCTTTTGGCCATTTGTATGCCTTCTTTTGAGAAATTTCTATTTAGGTCCTTTGTCCATTTTTAAATCGGGTTATTTGTTTTCTTGTTATGGAGTAGATTGAGTTCCTTGTGTATTTTGTATATCAGCCTCTTATCCAATGTGTGATTTGCAAATATTTTCTCCCCATCTGTAGGTTGTCTCTTTACTCTGTTAATTGTTTCCTTAGCTGTGCAGAAGTTTTTACTTTAATGAAATTCCATGATCAATTTTTGCTTTTGTTGCCTGTGCTTTTGGGGTCATATCCAAGAAATCACTGTCTAGACGAATGTCTTGGAGCTTTTGCCCTATGTTTTCTTCCAGTAGTTTTATAGTTTCAGATCTAGTGTTTATGCCTTTAATTCATTTTGAGTTGATTCTTCTATAAGGGATGGAATAAGGGTCCAATTTCATTCTTCTGCATGTGGATATCCAGTTTTTCCAACTGTATTTATTTATTTATTTGTTTTTGGTTTCTTTTAGAGACAAGGTCTCAGTCTGTCACCCAGGCTGGAGTGCAGTGGCATGTTCATAGCTCACTGCAGCCTCAAACTGCTGGGTTGAAGTGATCTTTCTGTCTCAACCTCCCAAGTAGTTGGGACTACATGTGTGTGCCACCATGCCCAGCTAGTTATTTTTTATTATTTTATGGAGACAAGGTCTCATGTGTTGTCTAGGCTGGTCTTGAACTCCTGGGCTCAAGTAATACTCTCACCTTGGCTTCCCAAAGTGCTGGGATTACTGGCATGAGCCACTGTGTCTGGCCCCATCATTTATTTATTGACGAGACTATCCTTTCACCATTGTATGTTTCTGGTACCTCTGTTGAAAATCAATTGACTATTGATGTGTGGGTTTATTTCTGGGTTCTGTATTCCATTTCATTGGCCAATGTGTCTGGTTTTATGCCAGTACCATGCTGTTTTGATTACTGTAGCTTTTTAATATGTTTTGAAATGTATTAGTATGATGCTGTCAATTTTGTTCTTTTTGATCAAGATTGCTTTCACTCTTCCGGGTCTTTTGTGCTTCCGTACTGAGATTCTGAAATTTAAATATAACAAGGTGTCTTGTATTTTATCTGGCAAGTCTGAATTCTATTATCTGGCCATACAAGTTGTCTCCAGTCTTGTTTTCCAAAATATCTTTTTTTTTTTTTTTTTAAATAGAGTCCTTTGAAAACTGATGGGTAGGTTTTTTTTTTTTGGAAAGTATTTCAGTGTTATTTAATGGCTACAACATCAAAAGAAAACAAAAGTGGGTAACATTTTCATTCTTTAAAATAGATTAATATTAAAACATGCTAATTTCTCCAAAGCAGGTTGGCCCTTTACCCCCATCCTCCCACAGTATGTCTTTTCTTTTTCTCTCCTGGAGATAAAAGCTCTTTACCATTTTTTATGAATTGAATATTTGTGTCTCCCCAAAATTCATTTGTTGAAGCTCTAACCTCCAATGTGACTGTATCTGGAGGTAGGGCCTATAAGGAGGTTAAATGAGGTAATAAGAATGGGGCTCATCAGTACCGCTGATGCTTTTATAAGAAAAGGAAGGGATACCAGAGCTCTATTCCTCTCTACCATGTGAGTACACTGGGAGAAGGGGGCCACCTGAAAGCCAGAAAGAGAGCCCTTACCAGAAACCAAATAAGCTGGCACTTTCATCTTGGAATTTCCACTCTCCAGAATTGTGAGACATAAATTACCGTTGTTTAAGCCATCCAGCCTATGGTGTTTGTTATGGCAGCCCAAGCAGACGAATGCACCATTTGAAGACTAAATTATTTGCATGTTGCATAGCACATCTCAGTTTTTAAAATTTAACAATTATTTCTCTCTCACAAAATCCTACGAGTCAAGCATGCTACCTTTATTTTCATTTTATGTGGTAGTAAATGATTGAAATTTTAGATTATTTGATCCACCCAAGATGACTCAGCTGATAAATCCATAATCAGGCCTCAAGTTTATGGTGCAGCTGGTTTATAGGAGCCCGTACCTGCCTAGGTTATGAGCTTATGTAATACTTTCTCTGCTGAAAAGAGCTAGTCCACCTAATACAAGCATCCTTAACTTTCCTACTCTGTCTAAAAATGTCTCTACAGCTTTATTGATTTTCCTCTTACCTTTCTGCCTCCTTCCTAATATAGCTACCTGTGATTTTTTTATATCAAAGTTTCTCATGGTCCACTTATTCTCCTCTCACTCACCCTAAAATTATTTCTCAATTTGTTCTGTTCCCTCAGCCTACACAGACATTCTCACACTCTCCCATTGGAAAGGACAGAAATAGATTTGGAAGGGCAAAGGAAAAATTACCAGCACATATACCAGTATATTTGCTGGTATTTCTTGCTTTATTGATTTGGGTTGTTTTGTGTTGACAAGTTATTATGATAAACAATAATTGAGCTTTCTTTTCCATACTTTCTCATTCTTCTTTTCCTCATATCTCATAATATAGTCCTACTATAAATTTTATTCCAAAACAAGGATTATAACAATATCCAGTGTTTTCCATAATTATGTAAATAATCATTCACTGCCAAGCCAAGTAGGGTATTATAATGTTTTCTTTCTTATGCTACTCTCTTCCCAGGACCTAATAATTATATTTTCATTTGTTTAGCTTTCTATGTATTTATCACTATTTTTTTTCTAAATGCTCCATATTATTCTTCATATAGCCACACACATCAGATAATCCTTAAGTTCTGTTTTTCCCTAGAACTTTATTTTCCTTGCTTCAATTTGAATTGGTTGCTTTCTAGGCCCTGATGCTGGCTGTCTACCTATGACTTCTCTCTTGGAACTTCATAACTCTGCTTTTTCTGAATCCCATGTCTTCCTTTCCCCCACACTTTGTTTTGGTAGGATATACCTTCTACAAGTTTCATGAGAAAATGTCCAAAAGAGATAAAATTTTGAATCCTTGCATGTCACACATATCTTTATTCTACTTTTGCACTCAATTATCAATATGTCCAGACATAGGATTCTAGATTGAAAATGGTTTTTCTTCAGAATTTCTTCAGAAGGCATTTCTCCTCAGCTTTTTAGCTTCTACAGTTGCTGATCAGCTATTACATGGTTTTTATGAGTTTTGTTCCTTTGTGATCTGGCTTTCCTTTCTAGATGTGTTTATGTGCTATTATATTTTCTTAATCTCAGCTGTTTGGAAATTTCATGATGAAATTTTGGGGTTTGTTTGTTTGTTTGTTGTGTTTGGCATACAATTAACTTTCAATCTCAAGTCCTGTTCTTCAGTTCAGCAAAATGTCAATATAATGTATCTTTGATAACTTCCTTCCCTCCATTTTGTTTTTCCTCTTTCAAAACTCTGTTGTTTGGATGGCGGCTCCTCTGGGTGGATCCTTTGTTTTGTTTTTTCCCTACCTTCAATCCCACCTCCAATAGTATTTAGTTTATGAATAAGTTGTATAACTATTTTCAAAATTGGAAATGTTATCCCTTGTTCGTGGACAAAAGTGTTTGCTTTCATGCTCAATAATGTGGCTGCAGTTGGGTATTAGGCTAGTTCTTTCCAATACTTCTTTCATAATTATCCTCCCACTTTGCAAAAGAAAGTCATAATCCTCATTGGATCCTGACACTCACCTTGGTGCACTCAGAATATTAAATCTTTAGAGGGCCAAATAATAATTGGAAATCATTTTACCTATGCTGCATACCTCAGCTAAAGTGCCATAAGAAATTGTATATTTTGGCCTGGGTTAGGATATTTTGAATTCAGGCATTGTACAACTGGATAGTGTCCACTTTTGTGTAGCAGATCTTACCGAATTATTTTTAAAGTACATTGCTCCTGAGGGAAAGATCAGTAAAGGTAAAGAAAACAAAATATCTGTAAGAAATGCAGGAGACAGGCTTATGGCAAGTATCCATGCCTCATCAGTGTTTACCTATGTAAGCATGGGGATTCAGACAGGAGATAGTTGTTACAGGTAAGTATTAAGGTACTTACTGGAATTGAAAAATGAAGTCAGATAGAAAGTAAGTCTGATGTGGAAAATTAGTTTGACGATGAGGACTGGATTTGCTCATTAGGTTATGACAGACATTTTCCATGAACTGAACAAGCTAACAAGCAAAATCCAAGTTCCAATAATTTAATGGAAATAGAGCATGTGATAAGATACAAGAGTTTTATTTTATATATGTAAAAATGCATAAAATTAATAATATTTCAATTCTCCCAACTCTTTCTGAGTATATCAGGTTAATCAAAGTGCCTCTAAGTAAGTGATTCAACAATATAATTAGTATTTTGTTAAGTCTTAGTAAAGCCCTTTTGCCCAGAAAATAAGTGAGGGAATGACTGTAACAAAAGACTAACAATTTCTTTTGCAATATATGTTCTTCAAAAAAAATTGAAGAAGAACCCAACTGAGTTATTAGCTGATAGATTATTAAAAGTTATTTTTATGATTAATTTTTATGAGCTTTTTGGCTATAACTTGGAAATGATTCATGCAATTGAATGACATTGATCCTTCCATTCCTATCTACTTATTAATAAAAACAAGATTTTCAAAACTTACATCTATATTAGCAAAAAGTAATAATAGAATTTATGCCTAATACTGCTTTACCTTAGCAATAAGGAATATCCATCTATTAATAAATTAATTGAAAAATAACCCCACATTTCTCATTGAGATCTATTTCTAAAATAAGTACTTTTACAGTTTGATAAAATAAATTTTATCAAGATTTGTAGAGAGATTAAAAGATGGCTGACTAGATGCAGCTGGATTGTGCCTTCTCTCATGGAGAAGAACCAAAATATTGAGTAAACCTTCACACTTGGAACAAGTGTTTTAAGAGAAAAAAACAAAATTTAACAGAGAGGTGACAGAAGACAGCATGGTTAAAGAGGAAGGAAGCGGGGCTGGCTGCTCAGCATCACTGGGCATCAGGACCCTGCTCCTGGACCTGGACCAGACCCAAGGAAGGAGTGAGTAAAGGAACTTCAGAGCACCACGTTCCCGCTGTGGACCTCTGAGATACTAGCTACAGGAGTTCACATGACATCAACAAACCTTTGGCCTGGCAGAGGGAACAGCCTGAAGAACACACAGAGGCACTGCTTGAATCTGCATGAAGCCCAAAAAGCTTCAGTATGCTGGGCAAGTGAAGCAAAATGTGACTCTGGTCACCTACCCACCCCAGAGTTCTGTGTCTGGATCTAAGTGGCTACAGCTCCAGCTCTTTGCTGGCTGAGAGAGAGCAGGGCGAGTGTATGCTCACATGCCCAAGATAGGCCTCATCACCATTGCCACAGGACTGGGGTTACAGTTGAATCACACACCCCTATGCCTGATGGTCCCTTTCAAGACTGCTTGCTTGGTCTCCTGGAGGGAGTAGGGGTGGAGGGTCACAGTATATCCTCCATTGCTCCCCCTGAGTGGTTTGTTGGTGGCCTGGGAGCAGTTCATCCCCCTGTCACAGCCAGTGCTTGACCTTGAGGGGCAAGAGGACAAATCCACTGCTCTTGTCCCAGGTCCTCAGGACTTGAACACACTACCCAGAGGTATGGAGATGAGGTCTGTGGCCTGATTTTGAGCAGGGGCAGAGACCCCACTGTCAAAACACAGAGAAAAGTATGGTGTGGGTTCATGTGGAGGTGGGGAGCTAGGCGTCCCTCCCTTTGTGAGACTGGACGGCAAAAGCTATGACCTGATAGCTACAGCTTCTGCACAGGGAGTCTCATGGTCTGGAATACCTGGAATACCTTGAAAATCTGGGCACAGAAGGCTTGTGACTAGCCCAACCAGTTGGGCTTGTTGCTGGGTGTGCCCCAGCCCCCTGCTGGGTTGAAAACCCAGGGCTGCCCCTTTCCCCTGAGTGGGCTCTGTGGCACAGTAGAGGCACTTCCATTCCTCCCTGGACGAGGGGCCCCGTGGCCTGAGAGCTTCCCCAGGTCCCCACCAAGGTTGGTGCTTGGACCAGCCCAGCTTTGCCTGCTGTGGCTACCTTAGCGGCAGAGCTTGGGAAGGGACCCCTGGGAACCCTATACCCTGTCCAGTGCCAGAGGTACCCCAGTACTTTTCCCCAATCAACAAAGGTCAAGTAAAAATTTCACTGCCACCACTGCAACTGCCTCTCTCCTCCAAGTACCACCTACTGGCTGGGAAATCAAGCTGTACAACTCATCACAATTTCTGCTGACATTATTGTACAGTGTTCAACCAACTTTTACCCACAAGTGCTACCTACTAGCAGGTAGTGAACTGCACAACTTTATATAATTCCTGCTGACTGAGAAATGAGATAAACCTCCTGAGACCTCCACCTCCCCATATGTGTAGTAGACAGTGTGCCTGGCCACACACACACACACACACACACCACACTGCTACTACAACTTACAACTAGCATTTGAGAAAACCACTACACTAAGGCTATCTATAACCATGAAATTCAGACGTTGGTCTCCTGAAAAAATTACAGAAGCAAAGCAAAGGACCCTACCCGATATATGTAATAGTCACACTCTCAAGGAAGGAAGAAAAAATCTACCCAAATGAAAGTAAATTAAAAAATATGAAGTGACAGCTTCAACAGATGAGAAGGAGCCAGCATGAGAACTTCAGCACTATAAAGAAACAGAATATTGTGACATCCCCAAAGGAATCCATTAGCTCTCTAGCAATGGATTCTAACCCAAATGAAAACTTTGAAAAGACAGATAGAGAATTCAATATTTGGATTGTAAGAAAGTTCAGTGAGATCCAAGAGAAAGATGAAAACCTACACAAAGAAATCAGGAAAACAATTCCTGAGGGAGAAGAAGAAAAAGTAAGATACTTGGAAAAAATAAGAAAAACAAAACAAAACCCAAAGCTAGCAGAAGAAAAGAAGTAACAAAGATTGGAGTAGAACTAAATGAGATTGAGACAAAAAAACACAAAACAAAACTCAACAATGACATGAAGGATCAACAAAACAAAAAGTTGGTTTTTTGAAGCGATAAACAAATTGATAGACTGCTAGCCACTTTAACCAGGAAAAAAAGAGAATATTCAAATAAGCACAGGCTGGGCATGGTGGCTCACACCTGTAATCCAGCACTTTGGGAGGCTGAGGTGGGAGGATAGCTTGAGCCCAGAAGTTCAAGACCAGCCTGGCAATATAGTGGGATCCTGTCTCCCCAAAAGAATTTTAAAAAAAATTACTTGGGTGCAGTGTTGCACACCTGTATTCCTAACTACTTGGGAGAGTAAGTCGGGAGAATTGCTTGTGCCAAGAAGGCTGAGGCTGCAGTGAGCTGTGATCATGCCATTGCACTCCAGCCTGGGCAATAGAACAAGACCCTGTATCAAAAAACAAACCAAACAAAACCAAATAAGCACACTCATAAATGATGAAAGTAAAACTATGACTGATACCAAAGAAATATAAAAGATCATCAAAGGTTACTATAAGTACCTCTATGCACACAAACTAGAAAACCTAGAGGAAATGGATACATTCCTGGAAACACACAACCTCCCAAGACTGAATGAGAAAGGTACAGAAATCTGGATCAGACCAATAACAGTTAATAAAATTGATGCAATAATAAAAGTCTTTCAACAAAAAAAGCCCAGGAACAGACAGATTCACAGCCAAATTTTACGAGATATACAAAGAAGAGCTAGTACCAATCTTACTGAAACTATTCCAAAAAAGTGAGAATGAGGGATTTCTCCATAGCTCATTTTACAAAATCAGTATCCCTGATACCAAAATCAGGCAAGGACACAACAAGAACAACAAAAAACTGCAGAACAATATCCCTGATGAACATAAATGCAAAGATCCTTAACAGAATACTAGCAAACCAAATCCAAGAGTATGTCAAAAAGACAATTCATTGTGATCAAGTAGATTTTATTTCATGGAATGCAAGGATGATTCAACATATGCAAATCAATAAATGTGATTAGCCACATAAGCAGAATTAAAAATAAAAACTTTTAAAAAACCCCAAAATTGAATATGAAGAATGGATAATTAAAACAAAATGAAAACAAAAACGTAAACCATATGATCATAAAAATAGATACAGGAAAAGCATTCAGCAAAATCCAACATCCCTTCATGATAAAAACTCTCAAGACTCTAGGCATTGAAGGAACATACCTCAAAATAATAAGAGCCATATATAACAAACTCACAGCTAACATCATACTGAATGGGGAAAAGTTGAAAGCATTTCCCATAAGAACTGGAATAAGACAGGAATGTCCACTCTCACGACTTCTATTCAACATAATACTGGAAGTCGTAGCCAGAAAAATCAGGCAAGAGAAAAAATAAAAGGCACCCAAATTGGAAAAGAGGAAGTCAAATTATCTCTGTTCACTGATGACATAATTTTATACCTAGAAAACTCTAAAGATTCCTTCAAAAGACTGCTAATCCTTATAAAAAATTCCAGTAAAGTTTCAGGACATAATATTAATGCACAAAAATCAGTTGCATATCTATACACCAATGATGCTGAAGCTGAGAACCAAATGAAGAACTCCATCCCATTTACAATAGCCATGCACACACAAAAAGTAGGATTATACATTTAACCAAGGAGGTGAAAGACCTCTACAAGGAGAAATACAAAACACTGATGAAAAAAATAGTAGATGACACAAACAAATGGAAAAACATCTCTTGCTCATGGATTGGAAGAATCAGTATCATTAAAATGATCAAATTGCCCAAAGCAATATACAGATCCAACACAATTCCTATCAAATTAATAACATCATTCTTCACAGATTTAGAAAAAACAATCCTGAAGTTTATATGGAACCAAAAAATAGCCTGAATAGTCAAAGCAATGCTAAGCAAGAAGAACAAAGTCAGAGGCATCACATTATCTGACTTCAAATTATACTGCAAGCTTATAGTGACTAAAGCAGCATGGTACTGGCACAGAAATAGACACATAGATCAATGGAACAGAATAGAGAACGCAGAAATAAATCCCCATGCCTATAACCAACTTATCTTTGACAAACATAAACAATGGGGAAAGGATACCCTATTCAATAAATGGTGCTGGGAAAATAGGCCAGCCATATACAAGAGAATGAAATGGGACCCCTAACTCTTACTATATATAAATAACTCAAAATGGATTAAAGACCTAAATGTAATACTTGAAACTATAAAAGCCCTAGAAGAAAACCTAGGAAAAACTCTTCTGGACATTGGGCTAGGCAATGTATTTATGACTAAGACCTCAAAAACAAATGCAACAAAAACAAAAATAGACAAATGAGGCTTAATTAAACTAAAAAGCTTCCACACAACAAAATAATAATCAGTAGAGTCAACAGACAACCTACAGAATGGGAGAAAATATTTGCAAACTATGGATCTGTCAAAGGACTGATATCTAGAGTCTACAAGGAACACAAACAACAAGAAAAAACAATCCATTAAAAAGTGGGCAAAGGACATGAACAGACATGTCCTCGAAAGAAGACATACAAGTGGCCAACATACATATGAAAAATTCTCAACATCACTAGTCATCAGAGAAATGCAAATTAAAACCACAATGAGATACATCTCACATCAGTCAGAATGAGTACTATGAAGTCAAAAAACAGCAGACGTTAGTGTGGACACACAGAAAAGGGAATGCTTATACACTGTTGGTGGGAATGTAAATTAGTTCATCTATGTATTAATAAAACAGTATGGAGAGTCTTCAAAGAATGAAAAATAGAACTACCATTCAACCCAGCAATCCCACTACTAGGCATCTACCAAAAGGAAAAAAAATATTATGTCTAAAAGACATGTGAGCTTGTATGTTTAATGCAGCCCTATTCACAACAAAATCATGGAATCAAAGTGTCCATCAATAGTTGATTGATTGGATAAAGAAAGTGTGATATATATATACACCATGGAATACTATGCAGGCAAAAAAAAGAAATCATGTCCTTTGCAGCTGGAGGCATCTATCTATCTATCTATCTATCTATCTATCTATCTATCTATCTATCTATCTAGATATCGGTATATCTAGATATAGATAGATATGAAAAGCTTATACATAATGTCTTTGTTTTTTTGATGATGGGTAGTAACAAATTACTATAGTTTTAAAATTCAATTAAATAAATAGCACGGTAATTTTTTAAAATGCCAATATATACTATATTCTAAAAAATTGCATCTTTTGCAGATTTTTAAATATTTGACAAAAAATTTAAGGTGTCAACTTAAAAATTTGAAAACCACTTATGTATACTTTCTATACTCTTACTACACTCCTTATAGTACTATAACTAGTTGTTTTCAAATCTTAGCTCTTTCATGAGAGCTTTATGTTTCACAGAACTTTAACAAAGTATCTTGTTCATAAAAGGAACTCAACTAAATATTTGCTCAATTAAATTATTTCCATCAAACGGAGTCATTCATTTCTCTTCTACTGTTCTTATTTAATCTTGAGGTTAGTTTTTCCACTACTTATAATCAAAACAACTGCCAGATGGGAATAAAATTTGGCCTTAAAAAATCATTCACATTTTATTTCTAAAATGAGAATGGGAAAGTACTGTGAGAAGGAAATGAATATATATAATAAACCAATATCAGTTTTTAAAGTGTGTTTTTTTCTATGTAAATGAAGCAACACTAAGCATTCAGAAATGTATTTATTGACATCAAACTATTGTATATATATGTGTGTGTGTATATATATATATATATATATATATATATACTTTTAACTCAAAGTAATATCTTTTCATGATCATTCTTTTTAATGTGCACCAAATTAGCAGTAAAAATAGCAGCAGATGGATCAGAGTGGTTGTCAATAAACCTTTTCTCCCCAGGTTACTAATATACAATTGCCATGAAAAATAAAAAAAATATATATATATATTTACACTTGACTCATCACCTCTGCTTAGGACCCTGTAAGCACAAGATATTGCTGAACTGCTGTATTTGCTACATATGGAACAATTAGACTAGCAATAAGAAGTAGTTTATGCATGTATGCTGGCCTACATGTATATACCCCTTTCGCAATTACTGAGGATTATCAACAAAGTTTGGTCTTGTCTTGTGATTATAATTCTATTAAATTACATTTAAATGTGATATACAGAATTTTGTTTTATAATTAGTATTATTCTAAGAAATAATAGTAATATAGACCCTGTAAAAATAACATAACTTATGCAAAAGCAAATTCAGAAAATGCAATAAAAATTCTTATAATCTTACTTAGAAATATCAGGTTTGGATTTAGGAATTAGATAGCCTAGTATCTCTTCTGATTCTTTGTTGTTGTTGTTGTTTTCAGGGGAGCGCATGAACACAGTCACCCACTACTACAAACTGTGCAGTTGGGTTTCCCACATTTGGGGAAATGGCAGGGGTCAGCACATCTGGAGTGTAATGGATGAGCCGTGCCCTGGAAAAACCACCTTTGTGATTGTGATAGCTCCTCTGCCAGGTTAGTAATCTCTCCTGATTCTTACCATTCCCTCGTTGTGAGATTGTTTCTTTGAAGTAAGAAAATATTATCTTGAACTTATAAAACTCTTTTTTTTTTAAAAAAACAAAAATTTGGAACTATCTCATATATGATAATTCTTTATCCTAACAGTATTGCTATGAATACTAGTTTTAGGTAGCACTTATTGAGTACTGTCTTTGTACCAGGCACTATGCTTAGCACTTCATGTTTAATCCTCACAACTCCCTGAGGTAGGTAATATTACTGTGCCCATTTTACAAGAGAGGGCTCAAAACCCAGGTTCATGGAAGGCAAAAGACACAGATGGGGATATTAATACTCTGGCCTTCCTGAACTCCCCATTAGACTGTGAACTCCTTGAAGTGTAGGGGGAGGGAGCAATGCCTTACTATATCTTAGCTACATTACAGTGCTGACCATGTAGAGGAAAGTAGGGAGGAGGAAGCTAAGATAGGACCTTTTCCTGGGAGTCATGACAGTGGGCAATCCTAGATGTAGCAGGTGAATGCGAGACCAAAAACTCTAATTCTCATACTTCAAATGAGCTAAGAGAAAAATCACATTTGTAAAGGCATTAGAGTATAGAAACACTTCCACAAAAATGAGAGAGTACATGGAAAGTTAGGTGTTCAAATTCACATCTAATTTCCCTGGGATTAAATTTAATTAATTACTGTCAATTTGATTTTTTATTATGATGTATACCCTTGAAGACTTAAAATTTTTTTATTATAGTAAGCTAGTTCTTTGGTCCTCCTATAAAGCTTTATCAGCTTCTTCTTATTTCCCTTTAATGTTTCTTGTCAACTCACATGTATCTCTGCAAGGAAAAAGTTGTAGAAGGGGAACAATATAAGGTACTTAAATTTCTCTGAGGCAGAAAACTTCAGGGTCTGAATTTCTGGTGTTTGTGGGCCAGTCAAAATAGTGAAGAAGCACTTAAAAGTGGTCTTTGGAATTTTTAATTTAAATATTTACCACTTTATTCTGTTAGTAAATGAGATCAGGAATAGTGATTTGATTAAATCACATGTATCACCTATAAAAGTGTTAAGCTCCTTTATCATTGTTTACACTGGGCTTCCCAAAGGCCATCAGCATCCTGAAGAAGCATACAAGAGCCACCCAGGAGCCATTTTCCTGCTCCTGCCCTATTCAGAGACTCTCTATTTTTGTCCAGAGTTCACAGTTTAGCACAAAGATGTCCTGAGTTATTTAAGCTTATTTTGACTGTATCCTGAAATCCCAAGTGAAAATAGTTTATCCCAAATTGGCCCAAATGAAAAACAAATCACACTGAAAAGAAACAATTTCTTGTTCTTTGGACTGCTAAATTACATATATGTGAACAACTTTAGAAAACAAAGCAAATGTTCAGTGGTTTTTAATTATTTCACTCTTAAAGAGTACTTTTTAAAAAGTGCTTTTCTTCAATACACATTAAAGCAAACATAAGAAGGATTGATCAGTGCTCCAGTTGGTGGAGAAAACAGCCTAGAGATACGTTAGCACCCTGCTAAGCTTTTGGGACCCATCAGAACTATATTTCCATAATTGTAAAATTGACTGTAAGCTAAAGTCTGTTTAATCATCTGTGTATTTCCAATTTGCCTATGTAGGTAAAGGCAGATAGATAGTGTACAATGCGTGTTAGTAATGGCCATAGAATAGTTTGGCTAGAATCTGTATACAGCTAAGACAAAGAAGGAAATGTCAAAGGAGACGATTATTTTATGTTAGGAACACACCATAAAACAATCAGTCTTTCCAGGAAAATTAAATAGGGATTTTGATAAAAGTCTGAAGCTGAACATTTATGAAGTTTCAGAAGCCCACACTCAGGAATCCTCAAACCCTACCTTTTCAACTTATTTTGAGACATAATAATTCAGAAAATATTTTTAACAAAGTGATCAATCCTTTACTTCAAATTTTCTTACATTAGATTTGATCAAACTTATTAGGAATTTGAGGTAATATACCAAATGTCTGACTCATGATTGTTTGAGTGTATGTGAAAACCAGGCTGTCCTCAATTAAAAAGCAAAGCAAACTATAACTCAAAGGATTGTACCAGAAGGGAATCAACATGGTTTTATAATAGATGTTAATGTTAACTGATAACCCACGCTATATGATCAGGTGAAACCTTTTTAGTGTTAAATCTTGCAAAAACCATTTGGCCATTAAATAAAGGAACTAAAATGGTTTTCTTTTCTGAGTGCTGAAAGATTTTGATAAGCCTACCAAAAATGAAAGTTTTTCTCTATAGACATTTTTTAGTATACTCTATAATCCATTCCACATGAAAATACAGAACAAAAGTAAAATTTTAAGCAAAATACAAATTCTAGTACTCAAGAAAAAAGCTGAGTGCAATAAATGGAAGAGTTGTCTATTTTAACATGGAACTTATTGCCACTAGCCATATCTCCTTTAACATAAGATATATGGGTAAGAAAATTCCAATTTAATGATATTCAAATATATAAATATTTGTTGCATCCTCAGGTTTCTAGTTATGTGTTAAAAAAATGATATGTTGAAATCTCTTCAATTTTAGAAGAACCTTGTTATAAAGAACAGAGCTAAAAATATTAGAACCACCTGCCCTTTAGTGTAACAAAATAAACTAGCCTTTTTGGTTTACTTAATTACAGTCTTACCATCAAAAATATATTCTCTAACTTAAAAAAATACTTTTTTGGTAATATTTGATGACATTTCTGATGAGAGCACATAAAAATAAAACAATACTTAAAGATGTGGATATAAAATGCTCAAGGAATCATCATTTAAAAACAGACGGTTCCCTTATTGTTTCTGTTCATGTCAAAAAGCAGGGTTTTTTTTTTACACAGTCTCTGTAGCTCCTAGGAATTTCATTTCTACAGCAGCTTTTGGCCTGTGGGCTGAGCCACTCTTCTTTTGGAATTCTGCAGCAATTTCCTCAAAAGACTTTCCTTTGGTTTCTGGAACTTTAAAAAATGTGAACAGGGTAAAGGCCAGGAGCACTCCAGCAAAGAGGAAAAACACATAAGGTCCACAGAAGTCCTGGATAGAAAGCAAACACAGACTTTGAGTTAGCAGTTTTTTGACCCTCTCTTCTGTTCAGTAAATCTGTGGAATATTAGGCTGCTTACCGCAATGTACTGGAAACACAGAGCTACAATGAAATTGCAGGTCCAATTGCTGAATGCAGCTATTGCTAAAGCAGCAGGACGTGGTCCTTGACTGAAAAACTCAGCCACCATGAACCAGGGGATCGGGCCTGGCCCAATTTCAAAGAAGCTGACAAAGAGGAAGATGGCTATCATGCTCACATAACTCATCCAAGAGAACTTATTCTGAGGAAAAAAACAAAAACAATAGTGGGACTGAGATCATTTGGCTGCTTTTTCCTTTAGCTAAGTAGCCTCTGAGTTCACAGGCGGCATACAACTTTTTCTAATGTATTTTGTTCAAGCAAGTATAAGTTATTCTATTCTGAGAGAAATTATTCTAGTCTGAATCATGCATAACTCTTTAGATTTCTTATAAGGAAATCCTCTGGATTAGGATTTTCCTGTAAAAGAGGCAGGGCAAGGATCCAGTGACCTTTGCTTCTGCTCATACTAAGGTTTCCAGACAAGATGTTTAGCTCCCTGTGAAGTAGTGGATGACAATGCCAGGAGGGCAGAGGTTCAGGTACATGCCCAAGGTCACACAGGAAGCCATGTGGCAGAGTCAGCATTAAAACCCAGTTGGCGGTGAATCCAGAGCCTATGCTCTAACCATGGGTACATGGCCTCCCTGGATGACAACCAGAATTTACATGCTGATATTCAGTCTTAAACCCAAGAAACTAGTTCATCTTTTCTTTATATATCTCCTTTGATTTTATGCTGTTGCTCTGGCTTTATTTCGTAAGTCAGTCTCAAATATTTTTGAATACAAAGCACTTTAACCTGGACCACAGAGGTGCCAGGTACCATCATATGTTAATGAAAAACCTCAGTGCAGGCACCAAACTTACCAGCAGCACAAGTCCCACTGACATGAAGATGGCACAAACAAACATCCCACTCATTCCAATTAGAAAGAGAGAACGTCGCCCTGCCTTCTCCACAAGGAATACCTAGGACAATTTTAAAGAAATTATCTCAGTTTTGTGAGTCACAAAATATTGACTGTTTACTTAAATCATTTTTACTGCCAAAGAGGTCATTTTAATTTATATAACAGATAAGAGGCAATTCCATCCTTCCATTTTACAGGAGTGAGATCAAGGTGGGGAGTGACTCTAGCCCCAGGTGGCAGAGCTAGTTTCAGTGGACAGCGGGTAATGATCAAATATCTGCTTAATTTAGTCACATTGGTTTGAATAGACCATTATAGAGATAGAACCATAATGTTACCACTACTCCAGGATTATCACTTTGGGTACAATATTCACAGACTGTACAGCTGGGGTCTCTTCCAATAGATGTCCTGTACATTTAAAATTTGAAGGTTCCACATTTAAACATGACATTAACTTATTTTCTAATAGTTATCCTAAGTTATAATTACAAGGGTCTGTGCACTATTGACACCGGAAACAGTACAACTGTTCAGGTGTCAACTATTCTCATCCAATTTTCTCACTGCTTAATAAAGTCCTATTATGACCACTCACCTAGCAACATGTGGAATTTGATAATTGAACCAAAATAGGCCTGCATTTTTCTGGTATGCTTAATTGTATCTTGTGCTGGGAGTGAACTATTCGTTTTAAAAGTTAGCACTTTAAAGCAAAGGGTTAAAATGCTTTCTTATCTTAACTGAGGAGATACGTCATTGATTCCTTTAGTTTTGTGGACCTTTGCATTAATGGTTAAGTTTTACAATTAGCCAAGACCAGAGTTTGTTATACTCTTGCCTGATCCTTGGAATATTACCAAGGCTGGTGAGTCACTCTCCCCCTCACCCCCCACAAAACTTCCTGTCATAATTTCTCACTTTGGCACCTGGTGAGCAAGTTGGCTGGCTCATCAGCCTATCAGTAAATCAATAGCAATCCAATGTCTTTAGTATAGTGAGCTCTGGCTCTGAAGACATCTTAGAAACATTTCACCTACAGTGAAAGCCTGTTTCTCAGAGGCACACTCATATCAGAGTTTTAAATCACTTCAGATAAGATGATAAGCTAAGAGCACATATTTAATTATTGAGAAGGAAGTTGGAAAAAACAGACTTTTCTCAAGTTCATTAAATTTCTCTCTATATTTTAACTCTTTTATTATGATGTTCAAAACTGGCTTGGTGCCACCACGTCAAGCTACCAAGAAAATAGAAGCATTTCTTTGTGAATAAGCTCCCTTACTATAAACTCTAAAACTGAACATCTTGAAAATTGAGTTGGCCTCTGTCCCTGAGGCCTGGTGTACACTCAGGATGAGTGTGACAAGGAGTGAGACATGGTCAGTGGCTGGAGATGTCTTCCCAATTAGAACGCTCATCTTTGCCCCAGGGCCTCACGCAAATCCTGGGCTCTTAGTTCCAATTTGGTAGTCACCGCTTCTTTCTCAGTGTCATCCTGCTTCCTAGATCCCTCCATTTTCTTTCTGCTTTTTTTCTCTCAAGATTACAGGCCCTCTTCTACCAGCCCATTAGTGTGGAAGAAAATATAGGATGTGGAACACAATTAGTGTGGAGTTGGGAAAGTCTCTCTTCCCAAAAACAAACTGATGTTCTTCCAATTTGGTGAAACATTAATATATTCAGTGCATATTTCTATTTGCATATTTTTATTTGAAAGTACACACACAATTTGGTAACATTGGTTAATTTTGGGGAGAGAAACTGGGTGACGGAGGGACTATCCTTTTTATACTTTTTGAACTTTAAAACAATGTTTCAAAAATTAATATAATTAAAAATTTTAAATGTGATCTGTAGTCCTGGAGGCTTAATTAATGATTTGGACTGGTTTTAAAAGATTATGTCACTTCCCTGTTCAAAAACTTAAACAGAATCAAAGGATGGACTCTAAAAAGGTACATTCAAAATAATTAGGACACTGTCTTAAACAACTCCTCCCACATCAGTGGGGTTGGGAGCAGGGTGCAAAAATGAAACTTTACAGAAGTTTCCTCTTTAGATTTTTTCAGAATTTAGGCTACCCAATCTTGACAATTTGATGCTTTACATAGAAAATCCTATTATACACAAAATGTTTTAATAATAATCTATCATAAAAAATATGTTGAAGAATTTGTAAAAAATATTCCAGGAGACAAAAGGGTGAATAGTCCCTTGGATTGCACTTCAGAAACAGGTCTTGATTGATTTAGAGTGGCCTTTTGGTTTAAACAGGCCTTATCTCTAAAGGTATGTCTACAGAACCATTGGTGTTTCGTTATTATCTGTTTTTCCTGCTCTTTCCAAGGTCCAGCACTGTTTAATGTGGTCTGGACAAACCTGCCTTTTGATCTGGGTAGCCAGGCTGTAATTTATTGATCACCCTAAGGTAATAGTTAAGAGTTCATGTGCAGAGAATAAAAAACAAGTGACTAAATTATATTGAGTATAGTATTGTGACTAAAATTGAAAAGAATAAACTTTTTGCTGTTTTTATCTTGTTGAACAAAGATAAAAATAAGCTCAATGACTCTCATTCTACAGTGAATTACATTAGTTGGGGAGTTTTTGTCTTTATTGTTGTTTGTTTACTTCTTAGATTATTATGTTAGATATTCTTGTTGTCAGGTTCTTATATATCCTTAATATATAAGAACCATCACTTCTTATATATCCTTAATATATAAGAACCATCACTTCTTATATATCCTTAATATATAAGAACCATCACTTCTTATATAAAGTTATTTGGTTTTAAGAAGAGTATATGACTTTTTTTTTTGTTGGAAGAAAACAATAACATTTCTAGTTACTATGTCACTTCCCTCATAATCTCACACATACTCTCATGCATCACCGGAAGCCACAACCTTGTGAACTACTTGGAAGCTCTGCTCAATGGCTTAATACCATTTGCTGAGTCTGTTTAACTTTGCTTAAAGGCTTAAATGTCTGTTAGAGAGGGCCTTGTTTATTTATTTTTATATGTTTCCCCCAAGGCACATGGTAAAAAAAAGAATTTGAACTATGTAAAAAGAGGAATCTAAGTAGACCATCCAATATCAATAGAAATGACAAGCTGTCAGCTACTCCCAAGGGGTTTATGTACAGAGAAAAGAAGGAACCTAGGAATCTGCACAAGGAGGAAGTTCTCTGTGTCCCCAAGTGAGTTAAAAATTCACAAATGAGTGACTAAATGGCATCCCAGCAGTGCAGAGAATCAGCGATTCACCTCAGTTATGCCTAATCTCAATGCAGTGGTTGGCTTATTCAAACAGGACTCTTCTCATGACTCACTTGGGTTTACACACTTAGAGCATGTGTACAATAAGTCATTGATTGCTTTTAGAGCCGAAGTTCCCCACCCCTCCTGCAATTTCTGGACTAAGGAACAAGCAGAGTATTTATCTAGGGCATTGACTTACAGAGACAGCAGTGAAAACCATGTTTACAGCGCCAACTCCAATGGTTGCATAAACAGGTTTGCTGATACCAGCCGTCTGAAAAATGCTGGTTGAGTAGTAAAAAATCTGCAAAGTAAAAACAGGTTAGCCTTAATCTTAAGAAGTCTGGCACTGATATCTTTAAAGCAAGAAATATTTTAGATTGTTTATTTTTAGTTGTTTCTATAGCGGCATGCACCCTAGAACTTCGTACAGATTTTCTCCTTCCAAGGAAGAGAACCCTCAGTCTTCCTTTAGTGTTTAAAGCTTCTGATTGCTTAAACGTCCTCCTTATATTTAGTTGAGAACTCTGCTACTGCATTTTCTTTATTTTTGTAAATAAATTGAAACGTTTTGTTAAAGTATAATATACATAGAAAAGTACACATAAATATGCAGCTTAATTAATTTTCACAAACTGAACACACCTATGTAACTAGCACCCAGATCAAGAGATAAATAATTTCCACCCCTCCAGAAACTTCTTAAATCTCCCTTTATCACTTATCCCAAGGAAACCACTCTTACAACTCCTGACATCATAGATAAATTTTGTCTACTTTTGTACTTGATGTGAATGGAACCACATAATATGTATCATTTTGTGCCTGGCTTCTTTTAGTCAACATTACCTTTGTGAGAATCATCCTTATTGTGTATTGTAGACAGTTCACTATCATTACTATGTAGTATTTTATTATATTAATATACCACGATTTACTACTATTCTATTGATGAGTATTTAGGTAGCTGCCATTCCTAAATGAATAATTTACTATTCATTAGGCTATCAGAAATCCTCAATTCAATACTCAACTCTAGAAGCCACTTGCAATGTAGTTTTTTTTGGGGGGGAGGGTGGGAGGCGGGTGTAATTATTCTTTTTCCCTCCTTGTATTTATTTTGATTTTTGCCTTTTGCCTTCACCTTAATATTAAACAGACATATAGTACCATTGACTATTGACGTTTTTAAAAATTGTAATTTTAGAAAACTTGAAGCAAAACGAAAGTTAATGCTCACTCAATATATATTTGTTGTAGCAAGACACATCATGATGTCAACATTTTTAAATGTCTTTTAGCTATTGATTATGAATAGTAATAATGAATAGTGATTATGAATAGTGCTGCTAGGAACATTCTAGTACAATCCTTTTGGTGGAATATGTATGCATTTATAACTAGGAATAGAATTGCTGGACCATGGTGTAGGCATGTGCTCAACTTTGATAGATATTGCCAGATAGTTTTTGAAAGAAGTTATGACAATTTTACAGTCTCACCAGCATGTATAAGAGGTCTAGTTGCTATTGCATTTAATCCAGAAAATTTCACTAGTCTCAGTAGACATGGAGAAATTTTGTTCACAACCTTTCTAATAGCCTTTTAAAATTTAGTTATGTTTATATATTTATGTCTTTTAGGTCATTCTGCTATCCATCATCCTTTGTCATTCCTTCCCCACCTAACGTGTCCTATTGCTGGTACCTCTTCCTGCAGACAGGACTGAGGTAGAGGACTGTGCCAACTGTGTTCAGTGCATAGAGGCCTACAGCACGCTTCACACTATCCCACCATTTTTAGGCTGCCCAACAGCCTCAGGTTCAACATTTCCTAGATTCCTCTTTAAGTCAGGCACTGGGATGGAAGCTGAAACAGTAAGGTTCAGAGAAATTAAATTTTATGCCATTGAATATACAGACAGAGCTGAGATGGGAGATATGAGTTTGGTCTCTGAGCCTCAAAGTTATACAGAGTATTAATAAAAATAAACATCAAGGACCTCTTAAAGGAGGACGGAGACCACAGTGGAGTTTGTGGAGTGAGGTTCAGGTCTCATTTTGTTTCAATGGATGGGAATTACTTCCTTTGCCTCCCCCAAGTGTTTGCCCATCTCTCAATCACCCACAAAGTGTCCCATGTGGATTTGGCATTGGCTCACTACAGCAAATGTCCAGTTTACATTTTTAACAGCAACAAAAGGGGAGAAGTGGTGTTTTTTTTTTTTTAATCTAGTTTCTTAACAAATGCTTAATTTTTTCCTCTAGTAGTCAATTGTCAGTAGAACCATCTTGGTCTGCATGATGCAGGGGTTTCAGTGTAAGACCTAAAAGCTAGCTAGTTTAATGCTCAGTATGTTTTTCAATCATGTATTGTCTACCGTCCTTAGTCAACAATATCATGCCAGTTTACTCTATTATTTATTTTGTGTGCTATCTCCTCAAATGGAGTGAAAATTTCTTAGATGGCAGGAACTGCTCTTTGCACCTGGCTATCTGGTATACTTCATTTAAATAGATAAAGGGAACCCTTGACTCCATTTGGCTTGGGCTATCAGAAATCCTAAATTCAATACTCAACTGTAGAAGCTCCTTGCAGTTTTTTGGGGGAGGGTTGTATAATTATTCTCCTTTTCCCTCCTTGTATGTATTAAGATTTTTGCTTTTTGCCTTCACCTTAATAGATATATAGTACCATTGACTGTTGACACTTTAAAAAATTGTTAAGTAATTTTAGAAAACTTTTGAAGCAAAATGGAAATTAATGCTTACTCAATGTACGTTTGTTATAGCAAGACCCATGATGCCAATACCTTAAAATATCTTTTAGCTATTTAAACTTGTACCCCTTGCCTTCCCTATTTTAATTCACTGTGCTCTTAAGAGTTAGTGGGTGTTCTTAAACTTACGCCATTGATTCCGGAAAATTGCTGAGCCACATGCAGCATCAGTGCCACTAGAATAGGCTGTCGGTAGCTGGAATTGGTGAAGAGCTGAATTATAGAGACTTTCTGCTCACTCGATGCTTCTTCTCTTTCTTTTCTCATTTCATTAATATCTTTGGTGACATCATCATATCCTCTGAGTCTTTTCAAGCCTGTCCAAGAAAATGATCAGGTTGAAACAACTCAGGCCAAAACAAAAAGAAATTTATTTTTATGTTAATGAAAGAGCTACATTTCTGCATGCCCCATTGTATTACTTAATAGCATGGGTGTTGGAAATTCTTTTTTTGTTAAATTAGATCCTGCTCTTTGATTTAAAAGAAAAATAGAACATTTGGCTTCATCTTATGACAAATAAAACTATGATCCTCATTATATTAGAAGCATAATGCTGGAGGGATCTTTTAGAAACCTCTGGTTGAGTCTAATACCGTGTGTATGGATTTCTGGTTTCGGCTTAAGTGAATGCCTATGGGTGCCAAATGACATGCACCAGTCATATAAAAGCGATTTTGCACATTCTTCTTACATTTAATCACCAACTTCATGTGGAAAGCACTGTTTTACATTAGCTGATAATGCCAAAACAATAGGAAGAAAGAAAAACCATCCACAGACTTACTTTGTTTTGCTTTGACTTCCTCATCTAACTTGATGTAAAGGTATCTGGGGCTTTCTGGACAGAAAAAGAGTAGCAGAGACTGAAGGATGGCTCGCACACCAGACAGGCCAAGCAGGATGTGCCACAGATCATAATTGCCCAAGATAAATTCAAGACCAATAATCTGAAAATGCAAGGAGGAAGTATATCAACTACATAATACTTTGGATCTACCTTTTACACTAGTTTGTTGAAAAAGTACTTTGGCTATTTAATAGTAGTCTCTGACAACTTTGGTTCAAGTAAAAACGGAAACTGTTACTATTGTATCTCACTTTAACTAAATTAGGAACTATTTGTTATATAAGGAATTAACCTAGGTTTTTTTATCTCACTTTAACTAAATTAGGAACTATTTGTTATATAAGGAATTACCCTAGGTTTCATTAACTCCAATTGGACAGTCAGGATGAGAATCAACCAAGCTTAGGCAAAAATACGTACTTGATATCTAAAGCAACACATAGCTGTATTCTCCAGGCAACCAGATAGAATAATACTGTGTTAAAATCATCCATGACTTTGGACCTTTGCTTGATATTTCCTTCTTATATTACCCAGAACTTATAGAAAGGGGTTTTATAGATAGAACAATTACTGTGATGAGAACTGTCTTGGCGATTCCTATGGCAACAGTTTATAGACTACCCTCTGGATTGTCGTAGGTGTGGGGTCCCAGACTCCCTTTGACACCATAGGGTAGAAGGGAAGGATAGACTCAGCTGAACAGGAGTTCCTGTGGCAATCACTTACATATTAGATTCCCAAGTAAGATGTTTAAAACAAAGGAAACCCAGGCAGTCAAACACGAAGTTTTCTATTTCTTGACATCTAAATGGAATAATTTAACTCTAGAATAGCTCTAAAGTTAAGACCTGGCTTGCCAGGTCACCTCCAGTGCTATCCCACCAACAATTCCAAGGGGAAAAGTGAGGAGTGATAATAATTTACCTTTGAACGAAAAACTCTATGTCTCTACACCACCTCCACTACCACTGGTAGAATTGGCTTTTCTCTCTGTGCTGGTCTACAGTGAGAATGGACAGTCAGGGAGGGACGAGATGGATGAAGTGGAGGAAGTACAGTAGGGGATGCAATAGTAGTAGTGGTACTGTAGAGGATGAAGTAGATGGGTGCAGTAGGGGATAAGGATGGGGAGTTTTTACCTGACTAATAAGAATGCCCGTGACGATGGCCAGCTGATGAAAAGTGCCAAGTGCTCCCCTGAGAGCGGTTGGAGCAATTTCACCGATATACATAGGAACCAGGCCTGAAATTAGCCCTGCATGAAACATAAACATAAATGTTAAAGTGCAACCAGGACTATCTCAATAATAACAATTTGGTTTAAGTACAGTATATATCTTGAATGAAAGCCCCTCCCTGAATTCACTGGAAGGATGAACCCTTGTTCCTAGGTATAGACATAGTTTGTGCAGGAGATATTTGATATGACCTCATATGCAGTTGTAGTTGGAAACATGAATAGAAAGAAATGCTTAGTCATGTATTTGACAGTTCTTCATTACATCATCTTATTTAATTAAAATTCATGTTAATTTTTAGTTTACATCATAATGCCTTAGGTTATCTTCAGAAAAGAAATTGAAGAATGTTTTAATAATATTCTTAATTAGGGCTCATGGGATTAAAGGAAATCAGAACATATCTCCACCAACCTCTTGATAGATGTTGAGTAACAACTTGCCAAAGATCACAAGCAACAGAGCATTAGTGTGAGAACAGCATGCCCTATCTGAATTTCCACAACGTAGAGGGCCCTCAAGATCACTGTTAAGGTGGTGACGAGGGGCGAGGGGAGGTGCAGAGAGGTAGAAGAGGTTAAGGATCTTAAGGACTCTTCCCCAGTTAGAAACCAGGGAAACCCAGCTTCTTTATTCTATTCAAATATTAGGCTTCGAAAAAATTTTATTTGAAGAAAGACTTTTGGTACTTAAACGAATACAAAACATTGGAAAGCACTAGCTCATTCTGCCTTCTGAAGCTTTCTTAAATGCACATGTAATCAGTCGTGCTGGAAATGGTGGAATGTCCAGCCATTTGCTGACTGCATAAAAAGTTCAGAGACTATCGACAGGCAAGGCTGAATTAAATGTTTGGCATTTTCTTAACTATTTAAAAATAGGATTTGCAGAGGCTTCTTCTTAGAAACTACCTGCCTATCAAATTGAAATGGATGATCTTTGTGTAAAAGATGCTTTGACAATTGTTTTCAAAATATATTTTTTAATGCTTCAAATTGTTCTTAATGTCTCAAATGAACATTTACATGTGTGATAAGGTATCTGTATTTCAGCTGAATTTTACAGGTGACTTTTAATGTGTAGCCTGTTGATCTTAAGTAAGAAAAAAATCATTTATTTGGCTCAATTCTAAGTTGTACTATCTTTCTGTAATAGCTAATACTATACCTGAAAAACAGAATAATGTAGATAAGCTCACAGGTCTGAAGTCACATGAACTTGAAGTCAAATTATATTTCCTATAATTTTTAGGAACTTTAATGCTCAGAATAGGGCCAAACATAATTTTAGAAGATAGTTAGGGAGTACAAGTTGGTTGGCTATGCTACTTAGAGGTTGTTTTACAATATATTTATAGCATTTGTTTTCAATTTTACCAAAAACATTTTGTATATTTTTTTCACACTGTATTTTTTTAAATGGAGAGAAAAGAAAGAAGAATCATAATTGGGACTTCGTTCATAGTGTTATTATCTGCATTTTATGGGAGAAGAAACTGAGGCTCAGATTTAATATTTAAGGCCATGCAGAGACAGTGCCAGAATTTATTTGCTCTGAATTCAAAGCCCTTTCCACATTTGGGGTTGACTCTTTACCTTGATAAAGCTACACTGATCTTCAGTTATTTTTATTAACAATGAAAATAATAAAAAGAGATTTAATTAGACTGTTAACTTGATATTTTAGTCTTTTGCTTCAACTGATCATTGAAGATACATGGAATTCAAGTCTTTTCTGTAGGTAAAAGTGTTAAAAATACTTTTATATACAAATCTTACGTCCTCACCACTCCTTCCCCATCCCCATGGATAGAGGTGCCTTGAAAGGCAACTACGTCTTGTGAAAATGGGTTAAAATCTCAACCTAGCACCGTCAAAATCAGAGCTTCATTGGCAGAAGTTACAGATTTAGCCATTTGTTTTAGAGAGAGATTGAATGATTCTCCCTTTCTTCAGATGTCTGCTAATTAGTTGCCTCTGAATGTTTGAAAAGCTGTCTCCAAGAACTAGCGATTCCCACTATTCAGAATAAAGTTTGTGGGAGGAACCTCCTTCCTTTATTCTGAACTTTTAAATATCAGCTGCTTCTCTCTGATTCACTTTCCCTATGGACACCACCACTGTAATGCTTCACTCGGTCATGTCTAGAATCATACAGGGCTGGGGAATGTGGTCTAAGAGATGGGTTCAGAGTGTTAAGGTCTTGTCAGATAGAAGAGATGGAGACATGGCAGCCAGGTAGTCCATAAGGGCAGAATTAAGGGTCGTGGTATAGCAGTCTCCCACTGTCTGCTATACCACAGCAGTAATAACAACGGCTAGCATTTACTGGTAGCTTACTGTATGTCAGATTCTATGCGGAACGTTTTACATATGTTCTCACAATCACCCTATAAGGTAGATATTATTATCCACTTCATTTAATAAATGAAGCAACTGAGAGTCAGAGTTAAATAATTTGTCTGTGATCATACAACTAGAAATGATGTCATTGCCATGGACGAGAACCTTGATAGCATCATAATTCCTACTTACTGGTCCCAAACCTCCCAACTCAGGATTTCAACTTTATGCTATTGCCTTTCCCTCTGTGATGTCACCCTAGACTCAAAAATATCCCTGAGTGCTACCACATCCGCCTTTAGAGTTACTTTCAGACAAAGGTAGGTGTGTGTGTGTGTGTGTGTGTGTGTGTGTGTGTGTGTGACTTACCACAATATAGTCCTGATATGCTTCTTCCAGCAATTATAAGTATATGAGATGGTCCCAATTTTGAAAACCCCATCAAGAGAGCTCCAACTAATGACAGAATGTTTGCTACTAACATGGCTTTGATTCTGAAATTTTAAAAAGCAAGGAATATAAATTCAGCATCAAAACTTGCTAAAATTATTCGCTTTCAGAGCATGTTGAGATTTTTTTTAACCTAAGAGCAATTATTTTAATTTTGCTGTAAAAGCTAGTTGGGGAATCTTGAACCAAGATTGCTAATTTGACTCATCTATGGACTAAAGTATTACTAATAAGCAAGACTTATGATGGGATAACCTAGGTTGCATCCACCTGATCTCTACATTTTTCTATTTTATTTTGAGACAGGGTCTCACTCGCTCTGTCACTCAGGCTGGAGTGCAAAGGCACCATCATGGTTCATTGAAGTCTTGACCTCCCAGGCTCAAGCCTAATCTCTACATTTTGATAGAGATGATTCAATCCTGGTGAGGACAAGCTTAAGATAACACTTATGACAGTTTTTCAAAGAGTTAACTAAGTTTTCTCTAAGTTGATTGTTTTAAAGAATAATTGTCTGGTGATAGCTAAATTCAATTCTATAGTTGTAACCTACAACTTTTTTTTTCTTTCAATGGCACAGGTTTTTAATCTAGATAGGAAAGGAACTTTCAAAGTTAAATTTCCTTTTGTATAAATTATTTGGAAGTAATTTAAAACATACTTTTAAGCCTTATCTAGAGAATTATAATTATCTGTATTTTAATATTGTATGCCAGCATATTTCCAAAATCTATAAATTATTAGTGACCAATGTAAAATACATAATAGAGCTGACAATAGCAACAAAAACACTTTCAAAATTAATCAGATGAAAATTGACAACATTTGCAGATATCTGTTACTTTTATTTCTAATTAATGGGAAAGCGAGGTACACAGAAAACCTTTTTTGCAGTCAAGCAGATAATGGTAAGGCCAATAAATGCCTGAGTAGACAGGTGTGAAAATGTTTGTGCCAAAAGAAATGTAAACGTCCTTGTTATATTCTATTTCACTGCTTCAAACTTTGATAGGTGGGCCTTTTCCATGCAAGTATCTTTAACACCAACCAAACAGAATTTTTTTTTTCTGGAGCATAAAACTATAAAGTCACATACTGCAGTGATTGTCCAACATCCACGTGATAGGCTAAATCATGTCCCCTGGCAGCCTACAGCATAATCCCCAGACTCTGTAAATGTTACGTCACATAGCAAATGAGGTTTTGCAGATGTGATTGAGAATCTTGAGATGGGGAGATTATCTTCAATTATCTGAGTGAATCCAATGATGTAATCACAAATGTCCTGATAAGAGTAAGGTAGAAGAGGAGCAGGTGATATGATGACAGAAGTAGAGATTAGAATGTTGTGCTTCAAAGATGGAAGAAGGGGCCACAAGCCAGAGAACTATAGTTGGTCACTGCAAGCTGGAAAAGGGCAAGGAATGCATTCTTCCCTCAAAGCCTCCAGAAGGAACCAGCCTTATTGGCATTTTGACTTTAGCTAACTAAAACTGAGTTTGGAATTTTGACCTCCAAAACTATAAGAAAACATATTTGTGTTGTTTTAAGCCACTAAATTGGGGATAATTCATTACAGCAGCAATGTGAAATGAGTATAGGGAAACAGAGTGATTTAGAGCTGGCTAGCCCCAGAGCTACAGAGTAGAAAAATAGTTTAAGGGGTGTTTAGTAGTTTAGACTATTGTGAAATGCTTTTTATCTACACAGGGACAGAGGGCAGGCAAATTCAATAATTGACCTTAACAAGTTGTTACCACCTAGCTAATAGTCTCTTTTATTAGGGGAAAAAAGATAAAAAGTCATAAAAGAAATAGCCTGGAAGAATCTTTGATGCCCTAAAGTCCCCTTTCCCTACCACCAAAGGATGCAGGAACACTTTATGTAATTTAAATTCTTTTAACTTCTGTTCAGATATTAGAAATGGCCACAAATAAATACTTTAAAAAATACATGAAATAGCTGAATCAGGGAAAAAGAAGCTTAATTCTATGTAAGCATATTTCTTAAAATCTGACTCTAAATACTTCAGATAGTATAGGCTCGATTATTGTCGTGGTCATGGTCATTGTCGTCATCATCATCATCATCATCATCATCAAAATGAGGCCACATTTGGTGTTTGCTTAATAAATGTCAGGCATTGTTTTAAACCTTTTATATTTGTTGTCATTAAATCCTCACAATAATGCCATGAGGTAGGTATTATTTTTGTTTTCACATTGCAGATGGGAGGAAAACGTCTTAGAGAACCTAATAACTTGCTCATTTTCATACAGCTATTAAGTGACAGATCTTGGACTTGATCTGTGTGAAACCAAAGGGTAATGTATCATTTTAATGAGTTCCATTTTTGATGGGAAAGAATGCATGCCTTCAAAGGCAAGCTATGCATCGCTTCCTTTACTCATGGTAGTGTGGATTGCACAGACCATAGTCTTCTCTACCGTACCCTGGTAATTAAACTGTAAATGCATAGGTTGGAAAAATTGGCCTTGCAAACCCAAAACTATAAAATGGTGGCCACAGACATCTGTTGACTATTACACAATTGCAAGGAAACACTTTTTTTTTTAAAGGCAATAATGGAAGTATTACATTTTTATTTATTTACTTTTGACTGGTAGATAAATGACACTGGTAATAATGAAAATCATGTCACTTCTCAATGAATCTCTCTAGAAAGATAATTTTATGGGGATACTGATAACTTTGTCTTAATTTTGATGTTGAAGTTATGGACTTTTGGGCTGCTTTTCAAGGGGGATCATTTTATTACTAAAAGCTAGGAGAAACCTCACTTTTTGTTTACCATAGGTCATTTGATACGTGGTCATTTGACATTGTTTTGGGGTATAACCATTGTTGATGCCAAATCCTAAGACTTCAGAGGGTTTGTATATTGGCTCCATTAAATGTTAATTAAATGTTAACACTAATTAAATGTTTTAGGTTAAGTCACTGAACTCATCAGAATCTTACCTCTAAATGAGAGGCAACCAGGGTTTACATTTTTTCTTCAGGAATGAGAAGTAGTATAAAATATCAGTAGTTGCTAAATGATTTGTGCATATTTTAGAACGTAATTTAATTTTGCTTAATTTGATTTACTTAAAAATTTTTTTTAAAATTATTTTTCCTTTTTCCTTTTGTCTGAGCCCACTTGCTAGGAAATAATTTACTTTAGCAATAAATAATTAATCTAGAGAATTCTCCATTTACTACTTAAACCAACTTGATACACATTGAAATTATTTTTGAATTTTTTTAAATGATGAAATTCAGTTTATTAATCCGTATTTTACAGATTCGTATTTAAAGTTCAACTGAACATCAGCAAGTTGATTAAAATATAAGAAATTGACCACTGTCTTTTATGGTGGAGAAAACTCCATTTCAAATAAAAATAATAATAAAACTTGGGTTACCATGATATTGTAGTTAAGAAAACTTATAGTCATATTATATAAAAGCTCCAGTATAAGAGGAAGAGTTATCAGAATTTTAATAACCAGAGAGCTAAAAATTATAATTTATAATAGGAATTGAAAAACTAAGTGAATTATAATCCAGAATTATTAAACTAGTTGCCTAAATTGTTATTTACATCTTTAAAGGCATTTTCACTTTCTAAATTTTTCATATATTATTTTTATCATGAGAAAAAAAGGTAATGCACAAAAGGTGGGCTCAAATAGGAGAAAATCTAAAAAATAATCATTTGATATTCTGGTTTTATCTCCTCTTTATATAGGGTGGGAAATCCTAACAGCTGTAGTCCATTGCATGAATAAGTAAAATTTGAGGGTAAAGGAGTTCCACTGATGTTTTTAATCCAAAAAACCTAACAGAAACTCAAGTGATAAATGGGGGTATCTCTTGCTTCATCTCTGGTTGGGGCTTTGAGATAGCAAGCAGTACCAGCAGCCAGAAACCGCATAACAAATACATTGGGCAATTGGGAGTTGGGGATGTTGACTGAACCTTTGAACTTGACTGATCCGAATGCCAAATTCTAATTTAAAAAGGGAAAACTGGATGTTTGAGACATAGTGTGATTTGGTGAAGCAAACAATGGACTCCCAGGTTAAAAACTCTAATTAGTCTCTTCTGCTGAGTTCCTGAGTTAACCGTTTGTGTAGTGGTCTCCTAGTATATTTTATAACTTACAAAGCTAGAGGATCAAAGCAATTATCTAGAAATACACACAAAACTCATGTTTGGTATAAATGTCTGAACAATTAACCAAACTGTCGCAACAGCTTTTTTCATTGATTTGATCTAACACTGATATGCCTCATAGGGTCATGAGTTGAAAAAACAACTCTAAAGCTATTCCACAAGAAGAAAGATAATATTTTTCTAAACAAGTGTTAGGAAAATGAAAATATGAAAGTTTCTGTTTATGCTTATTTATGAAATTTGCCTACCTTCCAAGTGTGTCCCCAAGCCACCCACCAAAGAATGATGCAGTCATTCCACCAACTGCAAAGCTGGATACAGACAGGGACCAGAGCATGGTGATTAGTTGAGCAGCTGCCACAGTCTCTTCCTCAGCCCAAGGGGTTGGTTTTGGGTTCATTGAGTATGAGATTGTGGGCAGTTCATCTGTACTGTTGATAACATAGTTGTTGATAGCTTTTCGGTCATCCAGTGGAACACCCAAAACATGTCTATAGTGAGATATTATTACCTAGGAGATAAAGAAAAATAGCTTTACTATTTCAAACATTCTATGTATTTTTGTTTTTGTCTTTAAAGTGTTTGTTACGTGTTTAAATAGTACCATCTCAATTATGTGTTTTATATACATATAAACATGGATAGATTTGTTTACAGTTGGCCATATCCTATAAAAGAAAGGTTATAAATTACATTGCCAACAAGAACCAGGCAGGAACAAATAAATGAAGGGAACATGTAATACTTTGATGACTAGGGGACTAAAATACATTTTCTACTATTTGGGACTAATAGGGAATGGTCAGGATTGTGGAACTAGAGGAGCAAGAGGAAGCTGCAAACGTGAAACTGGTGTTGGATGACCTTTAACTTTTTAACAGAAAGTCAGAAATCTGAGTTTTTATGTAAATTTTTTCGAGTTTTAAATATTGGCAACTATTGAAATTGAAACTATTCTGCAGGCTAGGCCAGGCGCGGTGGCTCACACCTATAATCTCAGCACTTTGGGAGGCCGAGGTGGGCGGACTGCTTGAGCTCAGGAGTTTGAGACTAGGCTGGGCAACATGGTGAAACCCTGTCTCTACGAAGAATACTAAAAATTACCCAGGCATGGTGGCACATGCCTGTAGTCCCAGCTACTTGGAGGGGGCTGAAGCGGGAGGATTGCTTGAGCCTGCGAGGTTGAGGCTGCAGTGAGTCAAGATGGAGCCACTGCACTCCAGCCTGGGTGAGAAAGTAAGACCTTGTCTCAAAAAATATATATATTCTGCAGGCTAAAAAGATACATTTTCATGCTAGTGTTACTTCTGCACAGCAGGATTTAAATTGACTTATACATATTTTAACAGAATCATAAAAGTGGATATAAGAAAAAAGACTGGGAAAGTTAAGATGAGGGTCAAAAATCAAGTTAGCATACAGAATTCAAACACTAGATGGTGTATCTTTGTTGGAAGTGAGCTATAGATTTACCAGTAAACTTCCTAGCCACCAGGGCAGAGAGGAAAACAACCGGGTATATTATTGATGAATTCCTAAGATAACAATAAGTTAGTGGCCCTTGAGAAGGTATTGAGACCCAAAGGAAGTTTCTCCTGTGGGTCCTCATAGAGTTAACTGTGTAACAGAATGGACAACATTGGAAACTAAATTTCATGGAGCCATATTTTGTAATATGCTTCATATAATTCAGATGAATTATAGGACATGGGAGGAAGACGAGGCCATCTTCCTCCCATGTCATTCCTCTCAATGATGATTTGGTCACTATTTAGCATCAGTGAGCTGGGAGGGTACTCTCTGAAAAGGACCTGGAATGCAGCTGCTCTGGGTTACTAGTTATGGGCAAAGGCCTGTTTGGTAATGCCAGCTGAGGGAGGGGAAGAATTGAGCATCCTCTTATAAAAGAAGTCTGATCAAGACATTTGTCTCAGACTGGGTGCCGTAGCTCATGCCTGTAATCTAGCACTTTGGGAGGCCAAGGTGGGCAGATCACTTGAGGTCAGGAGTTCAAGACCAGCCTGGCCAACGTGGCAAAACCCTGTCTCTACTAAAGATACAATAAATTAGCCAGGCATTGTGGCTGGAGCCTGTAATCTCAGCTACTTGGGAGGCTGAGGCAAGAGAATTGCTTGAACTCAGGAGGCAGAGGTTGAAGTGAAAATCTCCAGCCTGGATGACAGAGTGAGACTTTGTCTCAAAAAACTAAAACAAAAACATTTGCCTCACTAGAAGGCTGCCTTATATGAATAATATGCATAGAAAAAAAAGCTGAAGGAAATATCCAAAATGTTCTCAGCAAATAATTATGGGTATTTTTTTTTCTAATACTGTCTTCAGTAGGCATGTGTAATTTTCATAACCATATGAAAGTGTGATTTTAAAATCCTTCCAAATAATCCCAAATGTCATTCAGCTGATTAAAAAAAGGCTTAAAAAATCATTCTTATGTAATGGTGTTTCAGCAGCTCTTTAAATACAAAAGGAAGGGCCTATATAGAGAGAGAGCACTAACCTGGACGCCAGTATGGGGATCGCTGTTTTCAGCTCTGGCTCTGGGACTTGGATTGAAGGAGGTGAAACCTTAGCCTAAGCTTCCGTCTAAGACTGGAGGGGATGGTTTAATTTTTTCTTTTTTTTTTTTTTTTTTGAGATGGAGTTTTGCTCTTGTTGCCCAGGCTGAAGTGCAATGTGCGATTGCAGCTCATCGCAACCTCTGCCTCCCGGGTTCAAGTGATTCTCTTGACTCAGCCTCCCGAGTAGCTGGGATTACAGGCATGTGCCACCACGCCCAGCTAATTTTGTATTTTTAGTAGAGACAGGGTTTCTCCATGTTGGTCAGGCTGGTCTCGAACTCCCGACCTCAGGTGATCCGCCAACCTCAGCCTCCCAAAGTGCTGGGATTACAGGAGTGAGCCACTGCGCCCGGCCAGGGATGGTTCAATTAATGATGTGATAAGGTCTTCCACAAAAAGAGAAGGGGCTCTATTAATCAAGTCATGGTGATGTTGAATGTTAAATTGTTAAATGATGTTAAATTCCAGGAAACCTGCTAAATTGGCATGTGTTGTCATCACCCACACAAAAAAGATATGACCCTTGTCTCTTGACCCCCAGCACTATGCCCTGGATCTCTCAGCCTGCCACACTCCTGATGATTGTAGCACCTAATCGGAGCACGTCTTTCAGCAGGAAGCAGCCCTTTTCAGGTGATGGATTATGGTCAGCGCATATTTCACATATCCACACCCTGCAGTATCTTTCATTTTCCTTGGGGCTCAATGTTCTAAAAGAAGCAGAGGAAATATAATGGACTTACAGAAGGCACCGAAAAAATGTTTGTACCTTCACTTTATGCCACCTCTTCCCCAGGTTCCTCTTCTCTGTCTTTCATTAATTCACCCCTCTTTATTGAGTACCTTCTTTATGCCAACTACTGTGCTTGGCACCAGTGATAGGAAGAGGAACAATTCATCAGTCTTGCCCTCAATGACCTCACAGTCTGAGTTAGAGCAGAGGGGAATGAAGTCCTGGTTCCCCGACTTATGGGCTGTGGGAGCTGAGAATAACATACCTCTCCCATGTATTCACTGAATACCAGAATAGGGATGCACGAAATATATGAGAAAAATGGTTGAAATAACTTGATTAAAAATTCACCCAAGGAGTCATCGTGGAGAAAATCCAAACTTTGTTGAGCTTCTTGAATATTATTCTAAAGTTTTACATTATTTTACTTTGGGTCACCTATGGGAGACAGGAATGGAGGGGGAAGGACCATAATCTCTTTTAGTTTAGGGCTTCTTAAGGTTTTAATGTAGACTGGAAATGGGCATAATAAGGTTGTTGAGAGGATCCAGCTGGGGAGATCATATGTTAAAGTACCTGATGCAAATAAGCAGGTGCTCAAAAAATGTCCCCTGAGTGAAACATATCCTTATTCCCTGGCACTTTTCATTCATGTATGGCTGAGATCTCTGAATGAATGTTGCAATAAGCTCTTTTTTTCTTTTTTTTTTCTAAAGTATCCTTCAGCACATGATATTCTGCCTGGAGTTTTCTGTGAGCTCAGCAAACAGCAGAGTCAGAGATTAAGAATTATTTATTGCCTCCTTTTTTTTCCCCCGTGATTGTTAATTAGGGAGTCAAGGCCAAGTTATCAGCTTTGGAACAGTGCACATCGTACCTGACAGGCCAGGATGGCCTTGTGTCTCCCACGTGGACACCCTTTATCTCTGTGTATGAGGAACATATGATATCTATCACTGACAGAACTTGCCAAAAAGAGAACTTCTACATATTTCACTTGCCTGTTGAGGTGCATTGATCACACCAATGTCATATCCAAACTGGAAGGAACCCAGCACAGCAGTGATGACAGTGAAAACCAGGGTCCCAGTGACCTGCAGGGGGCGAGACACAGGGCAGGGAAACACCAGGCAATTTTAGTTTCCCATCTTTCTGTCAGGCTGCAGCTTAAACTTCTTACAGGCTCCACAGGCTGGTTCTTTCCCCTCAATATCGATTTGCAGTATGCCCTGTGCTCCAGGCTGGCAGGTGTTGTTCATACAAGAATGTGAGCCATTCATCATTTCCCCTATGCTGCTAAAACTCAAAGAAGTTTGGGACAGCTTCTTCCAGGGGAGGAAACAAACATTCTTTTCCATATATGTGTATGAGAATAGCATACCTCTCCTGACTATTCACCGGATACCAGAATAGGGATGCATAAAATATATGAGAAAAATGATTGAAATTACTTGATTAAAAAAATCCACCCAAATAGTCCTCATGCAGAAAATCCAAACTTTGTTTTATATATATATATTTGTTGATATGTGTGTGTGTGTGTGTGTATATATATATGTGTGTGTGTGTATATATATATATATATATATATATACGTATGTATATATATATATATATATATATATACGTATGTATATATATTCAGAATCAGGACTGAGAACTAGAATAGCTGCTGACGGAAGGGAGCCGCCAAGATAGAGCCATTATATCATTGGGAGCGGTAAAATAAGATACCAGTAATAAAGAGATGGGGAGCTCTGTTGGATGTTGCCATGGTGACAAAAATACTCATATAAGAGGCATTAGCTAGCCTTTATCATGTTCCGCATCAACATCCAGGGAAGGGTACTTTTCAGGATTTGCATCTAGTTCAGCCTAGAGTTGTAGGATAAGGGCCATTATTTTCTCCCCAACTCCCCAACTCCATGTAGTTACAATGAAACTGTGTAGAAAAGGGGCAGAACATTCATCCCCTTGAACTCATATTTACATGTCTAACTATCTTAGAGAAATCACATCATGCATACGGATACTTAGTTTAGCATTTTTTTGTGCATGTGATAGCAAAATTGTAGAAAGAACCCAAATATCGTTCAATGGGAAATAGTCAAATAGATTCAGATACATCATAATACATACATCAGATACATGTAATATGCTATGCAGCAGTTAAAAGGAATAATATGATCATGTGTACTGACTTATTTTTAAGTGGCGAAGGAAGTTATGTAATCTAATGTTTTTAAAGGCTTAAACATGAGTTTGTTTGATTTAAAAAATCAAACAGTTATTTGATTTGTGCATGACGTATATAATTTATAGAATGTTTTCTTGAAGAACAAATGAGTTGATGGTCCTTGAGGAGGAATGTGAGGTTGGAGAAGGAGAGTGAAGGAAATTTTTTCTTGTATTCATATGATTAGACATTTCATAAGGAAGATATTTCATGTACATTTACATAAATTTTTAAAAAGCTTGGGATATAGTAGGAACTTTGTTGTGTAAATGAATGAGTCACATCAACATGGATTCCAGTTCTCACTCTCTTAGTAGGTATGTGACCCAAGCCACTTCCCTTATAGGAGCAGTTTTTCTCTAAATTGTGGGGTGATAGTAAATCTCCCTACCCTGGTGTAAAGCCCCAGTATAAAGAATAGCAAATTAGCCAGAACCCTTCATTACCCTGAAAAGCTAGAGATCAGAAATTTCACAAAGTATTGTCACAGAACCATCCTGGGAGCCCTTGAAATTATTTAGTCCAGTGGTTCTAAAACCAGACCCTACTTGGAGAGCCTGTTACACATGTAGCTTCTTGGAGACAGCCCCAGATCTTCTACTGGATTAGAATCTCTGGGGTGGGGATAGGGAATCTGTAGGTTTACAAAGCTTCCACCCCTTTCACTAATATAGGGGGTATCTGTCAGACTTTCCCTCCTAACACTTCTTTCTCTGAAAGAAAGGACTTCAAAGTTGACCCAAAAGACATGGTTATATGATACATATATATTGCCCAAAAGAATAATATATATGTGATATATAATATTGCATAATATGTTTATTAGATATAAATTGGCCAGGCATAGTGGCTCACACCTGTAATCCCACCACTTTGAGGGACTGAGGTGGGCAGATGGCTTGAGCCTAAGAGTTCGAGACCAGCCTGGGTAGCATAGCAAGACCTTGTCTCTACAAAAAAATACAAAGATTAGCAGGGCATGGTGGTGTATGCCTGTAGTCCCAGCTACTCAGGAGGCTGAGGTGGGAGGATTGCTTGAGCCCAGGAGGTTGCTGCTGCAGTGAGCTATGATTGCACCACCATACTCCAGCCTGGGTGACAAAGCAAGACCCTGTCTCAAAATATATATATTTATTTTATATATTTATATATCATTTACATCTGATATTTATCACTTATATATATCATTTATATCTTACATATAAGATATATTAACATTTTATGTTTATTACACGTGAATTATATATATTATACATAAAATGCATACACACACTATATGATATATGGTCTATGTGAGTATGAAAGATTTTGAATTTAAAATCTAAAATGTAACTCGACATCTAAAACTCAGTGGCTTAGATAGCCAAATCTAAGATGGAATTTTATTTACTTAGTTGGTGGTTTCTCCTCAAATCCTTTTTCCCCTCAAGCTATTTCCAAGGATAGGGATTTTCATCCTTTTTACAGGTGGTAGCCATTGTCAGAAGTGATGGGATAAGGAGTACCCTGGGAGGGCTTTAACCCACTTCCCTCATACTCTCCATCACTGAAACCAGGACAATCTCATGTGAGATGCAACACAAACAGATTCAAAGCCTAATACTACTTATGCTTACTGCATGCCTGTTCACTATGTGGATTATCTCATTTACTTCTTAAATTAGTTTTCTATTGCTGCCGTAACAAATTACCACCAGTGCAGCAGCTTAAACAACACAAATTTATTTATCTTAAAGTATAGCCAAGCATGGCAGCTCATGCCTATAGTCCCAGCGTTTGGGAGGCTGAGGCTGGAGGATTAATTGAGGCCAAGAGTTCATGACCAGCCTGGGCAGCATAGCGAGATCCCCATCTCTACAACAACATCTATAGATGGGAAGTCTGGTATAAGTATCACTGGACTAAAATCAGGTTGTTGGTAGGCTGTGTTCCTTTCTGGAGGCTGTTGGAGAAAATTTGGGTTGATGATGGAATTCAGTTCCTCTTGGTTATAGGTCTAAAGTCTGTCGTTTTGCCCTGGTTATAAATTAAGGGCCATTCCCAGCTCTAGATGCCACCAAATTTCCTTGGCTACTGGTATCTTTCTTTCCTCTTTATAGCCAGTAATGGGCAGGTCAGGTCCTTCTCATGTTACATCTCTCTGGCACTGACAAGTAGCTGGGAAAGTTCTTCCCTTTTGAGAATTCATAGGATTAGATTTGACCCATCAGGGTAATCCAGGAAAATCTCATCTCTAGGTCTATTACCTTAATCTCATCTGTAAAGTCTTTTGCCACATAAGGCAAGATATTCCCAGGTTCTGGCAATGCAGCTGTGGACTTCTTTGGAGGACGATTATTCTGTCTACCACATTCTTCATGGCAGCACCATTAATGTCCCCATTTTATAGATAACTAGATTAGTTTAACATCTCACAGTTAGTAAATTAAAGAACAATGACTTGGTTCCAGATCTTACGCTTTTAACTTCTTGGTTATTTTGCATCCCTCATTAGTCAGATACAGACATTCAAAAGCGAAGCACATCTGAAAAATCTAGGACCATAATCTTTATAAATTAAAAAAGCTAAGAGCATACATATCCACAGAATTTACCACTTGTGGGTGTTTAGCTGTTTGGCTTCAAACACACAGAAATCTCAACCACATTTTCCCACCACCTACCACACAAATCCCTTTTCCCCCACTTACCAGTAGAAACTTTTGGTGAGGTCTCTGGACAAAAGTCCAAAAAGGCAAAGCCTACTCAATTGCTCATCGGTAGCTGAGCTGAAGAGGAACCTCAGGGTCTTCCCACCACCAAGCCCAAGACCACAATATACTTTCCCAGTCTCATCCCTGCATTTTCTTTTCTTCTGTGGCACTTGGTTTATTAGTGACTGTCACCTCCTGCTTCATCCCTGGATTTCTGTTCTCTGGGGGTTCTCTCCCTGTCCCTCTACCATACAAACATATAATTTATTTCTCCTTATTTTAAGAGTCCAATCAGTAGCCATGCTAATGGTGAGCAGGGGCGACACAGAAATTGAAGTTGGGGTGATAGCGATAGCTGCAGCACATGTACTCCCCTGTCGTCTCCATTAGTTCACCCCTGTCACTTTACATACACAGCCTAAGTCACAAAGTCCCACATTACTTTGACAAAAATGAAAGCTAATTTTTAAAGATGCTGGATCTCCCATCCTATTTCTTTCCAATCAAATTGTTCTATAGTATAGAAATTCTGGAGCTGCCTCTAAGATCAGTTTCTCATTTTATTAGAATAACAAAAATAGCAACTATGAAGGAGATAGGAGAGTTTTTAAACATTTAGAAATCTTAGCGTGTTATTAAAGTCCTTATCCTCTGGCCTTCCTGGTTTCTTTTTGAGGGTTGACTGTGGTCCTGCCACCCCAGGGCCTGCAGTTCCTTATTTTAACTCCTCAAGATAGAATTTTACCAGGTTGGTCAGATAAGGAGCAATCTCATCCATTTTAAGCAGGTCATTTGAATTTCTGAGAATTTCCAACAAAAGTGATTATCCCAAATATCAAAATCTCTGAAACTGTTTAATGGCATTTCCTTTTGCTTTCTTTTTCTTTATCTTTTATTTTCAGGTTTAATTGCCCTCTCTGAACTCCATGTTAAAATGGCTCCCACTCCTTCATCTTTTCTTTCTCCAATGTTGTGAAATGAAAAGAAGTAATGTTTATAGTCAGCCTTGTATGTGGCTTGGCTCTAGACTTGGTCAAAGGAGGTTTTGTTTCTAAGGGGAAATTTCTGAACACGACCAAGTCTTAATAAGCCCCGTCAACCTTCATTCATCCACTCTAATGTCCAAGAAGTTGACACAAGAAGAAGTACATAAGTGCTACTGAAAATAGCAAGAAATTAGAGAGGATCTTAACCTGTCCAAGTTCTGAGGTTCTAGATGGTTTGCCTGTTTTCTCAACAACCCAGTAGGTAGGAATTATTATTATCATTTCACATATGGGGGAGCTCACATGGAAAGAGTAAACAGCTTGTCCAAAGTCCACATAACCTAGTAAGTGCAGAAGATCTTCAAGCCTTTTCTCCTAACTTCCTCATAGGCTATAAGGTGTTCAGCTTGCACTTTAAAAAATGCTACCTTCATTAGGAGCTTAATAACTTTAAGTTAGAGAAACTAGATTTCATATCCAATTTAAAATATGCTGCTGGATAAATGTGGAAGGGTAGAATAAGCAAATGGCTGAACTTCAACATAAAACAATGTAGTGTTTATATTGTGGCTCATAAGTCATATAGGGTCTATTAGAAAAAAACAAATAGATGTGGGAGTCAGAAAAGCTCCAAAAGAGTCCCAGCTAGGCTCCTAACGTCACTGAGCCTAAGTTTCTTTGCCTATAAAATGGGTATAAAACTAGTTAATGCATAGGATTACTGTAAAAACTAAGATAAATAATGTGGTCTTCCTATAAACAGTAAAAGGGCTACAGAACAAATGCATCTTTAATCATGTCTTTATCATCTCATTCATTTCTTTTGTCAAACAGCCATGTGTCAACTTTTCATACTTTACCGATACTCTTTGCAATACCACAAAGTACATGAAATTATTCCTATTTTAGAGGTGAGGAAGCCAGGGATCAGAGAGGATTAAGGAGCATACCTAACACTACACAGCTGGTGACAGATACTCTAGTGTGGGAACCGAGAGCTGATGGTCTTAAACGCCACTGCTAACCTGAAGAGCAGATTTTTCCAGCAATTACTGATTGACTAGGTAGGGAGGAGAAGCTTATACCCTTTTCTTTAAACTACATGTCTCCAAAACCTAAACCAAAGGTGATCTTGCATGCAACTTTGGAAAAAGCCAGGGGCTTATCAAGTCACAGAATTTTTAAGTTGAAAGAGACCTTAGAGAACAATGGATTCTTGTCTAATTCCTCCATTCTTCAGTTGTAGAAACTGAGGTCTCACAGGCCAAGTTGTTTATGTCATTTGTCTGATTTCTGTGAGCATTTTGGGCATATTCAGTGTGACAACTCAGGTCTCTTGACCCCAGTTCCTTGCTTATCCTACTTCTTTCAAAGTCTGGATAGATTCACAAAGCTGAAAAACATTGCACTACCTCAGTTCTCATTCTTTCTGGGTTCCATTGTTAGGCAGTTCCTTGGTTATCAAGAAAAGATCTACAACGTAATTTCAAAAGCCCCTAAGAAAATTAATGATAGTTTTGAATGAATCTTGAACATCTGCGATGTGCCAGACACTATGTTAAGCACATTACCTTCCTTTTTGCAGTAGCTTTCAAACTTTAGTTATTTGATTACTACCTTCATGAATTTTGCCAAATCTACATACCATCTATGTAGTTGTTAACTTAATGTTTGTCTTTATATTGACCTTAAAGTTCTAACTACTTTAGCTTTATCCTGGGCTATAATACTCATGAAATCATGATGTGCTAATTATTCTTTAAATACATACTATATAAATGCTATATAAATAGCATTTTATATTTAACTTTAAATATCAAACATATAAATGGTGCTTATATAATATGTATTTAAAGTGTTTATACATTATAATATAATTTATCTTTTATAATTTATAAATACTATTTAAATATGTATTTAACACTATTAATAATTATATAACTATTAACATTAAAATTGTTGTCTAAGCCTCTCTAATATAATCTCATTTAATTACTCCCTAACTCTAAAGTACTAGTATAATCCCTGAATATCCCATATTATATCACTGAGCCCAAGTTTCTTTGCCTATAAAGGGTATATTGTATCCTAATATGTTTTTGTTTTCTCACAATAGAGAAAACCCAAAGCTCAGTTAAATAACTTAACCCAGGCCTCACAGCAGTTTAGTGGCATTGCTAGAACCCAGATCCAAGTCTGGCTGACTCCAAAGCCAGTGCAGCTAACCATGCCATCTAATGACATGAAGGAATGTTCAGCAGAGTAAGTTGCACCAGATGAGAACTTAAAGGTGAGACCCTACAGGGCACAGATTGATCAACTTATATGATTGTGTGTACAGGGGTGGGTGAGTTTAGAAACCACGTATAAGGGAGCAAGGACACTATATCCTTTATATTTTTAAGTTTTTTTTTAAAGTATCATATCTAGAGAGAAGTTGAAACAGTAGTGAAGTGATCATTCCATAACCTTCGCCTTTATTCACCACTGGTTAACATTCACCAATTTGTTGATCTCTCGCTCTGTAGTGTTTGTGTGTGTGTGTTGTTTTGGCTGAACCATTTACAAATAAGCTGTAGATATTTGTGTCATTTCACCCCTAAATACTTTAGCATGTACAAAGAACAAAGACATCCTCCTACATAATTAGATACCATTATTATATCCAAGAGTGTGAAATTGATACAGTAATATTATTTAAGATGCAGCCCATATTTAAAATTTCCCAACGTCTCCATAGTTCCCTTATTGCTATTTTTTTCTTCCTTCCACAATCTAAATCATTTGTTGCATTTGGTTGTCAGTTTGTCTTAATCCCTTTTAATCTAGAGAACAACCCTTCTACCTCTTTTGTCTCTCCTGCATTGACGTTTTTGAAGATTCCCGATGAGTTTTCATGATTAAATTTAGGTCAATCTGCCCCCTTTTTTTTTTTTTTTTTTTTGGTTAGGAGGGGACATATTTCTTTAGTAATATGGTTATGCACAATTACTTGAAAAAACTTATGCAGACTAGTCAGTTAACAGAGCAAAAATCCTTAAAACCCCAATTACTGAATAAGAAACAGTTCTTCAATTGGCAAAGTAAAGAGAATTAATTTTGATCTGTGGTAGCTACACCCAACCTCCCCCAAATCCTCTGTATGACTTGACTGTATTCCCCTAACTATCTCCTGAAAACCAGACTTGAAATGAATATAATGCTGCTTTACCTTATCTTCTGTCATTGTACTAGTTGGGAGTCCTGTCAATTCCAGGTCTTGTGTGAGTGTGGCACATGCACCTGACTAGCTCCTGCCTGTTTATTCGCAGCTCTGCCTAGGCCTAGTTATGCATTGCAGGAGGAGGAGCAAGGAGAGGGAGGAGTTGGGCTACCCAGACCTGAGAGTCCAAGTCTAATCTTCTCAGCGGCAGCTGAATATTGATGGGAATCTAATCAATAAGTGCTTTGCCTCAGCAACCTGTGGCTTCAATACCTTTGTTCCACTAGGAAAGAAAATGGGAGCAGGTCCCTTAGGCATAAGTTACAAACCAGAGGCAATCACATTTCAAGGCATGTGTTATGTGGCAGTAATTGGGAGCTGGTGAAAAGAGAAATCTTTGGAGTCTTTTGTAGAAGATGAGATATGCTGAGCTGCCGTGCTGTGCTGTGGAGCATGGGAGGCACACTGCACTCTGCTCCACAGATAATTAGTGCTGTGGTGTTTCTGTTTAGAGCTGAGCTGTGTGGCCGGAGACCATTGTTGACTTGAATGGTTACCTGGATGAGCTTTGGATTGTTAGGGACTTGGGTTTGAATCTCAACATTTTACTGGGGAGTATAACCTTAAGCAAGTGGCTCACTGTGACTTTTCTCTGATTAGTTTTTTATTTTTGCCTGATAAAATAGAAATAACACACATTTTGTTTTGTTGAGTGGATTAAATGAGATAATATGTGAAAGTGTTTGGCATATCTCAACATATAATAAGTACTTAGCAAATAGCGGTTGTTATTATTATTGCTTCATATATGTCAAGAAGCACTTGCTGGAGGCTTTAACGTAGAGTTCTCAAATAAACCTGCTCATATGGCTTGATCTTGGGCCTAAGTATCCCTTATGATATCCAAACCCTGTGGGGGTTCAGGAGATATCAAATTTATTGAGCTTTAAGTGTGTGTGGCAACTGGGGCCACAGATTGCACTGAGGCTCAAATGGAACCAGTTCCCAGCGGAACAAAAATGTAACAAGCAGCAACACAATGAGGGGTGTTATGAAGAAACAGGGTGAGAAAATGAAGGATTAGAGGAGATTCAGATTTCACCTTTTTATTTTGCCACCCTGTTTTCATTTCTGTCACCTCTGCAAGGTGACACACCTGAAATGTTTGGTTTGAGAAGGTAATTCAATCAAACTACAAACTTTTACTGAGTCCAGCACAGTTCCATGCTCCGAGATGACTGAGATAAATAAGTCACAGCCTCCTCTTTCTAGGTGTTTATAACATATAAGATGAGACATATGTAATGCAGACACAATACAATAATTTCATAGTGGAAAAGCGTGAGCAAATATTAATAGTAATGATGGTTAATCTTTACTGAGGTCTTGCCGGGTGCCAGGTGCTGCTCTCAGCACTTGACATGGATTAACTCGTTTAGTCATAACATGAGGTGCTCTGTGTCATAGTGCCAAGCTTTGGGGAGCAGCTTTGAAGTCAGACTTTAAAGCGCCCAGTTAGCCACGCTGACTTTCCGCATCAGTTTTGGCTGGTGATGAGCACGCCCCATTGCCAGAGCGGTCCACAGTCAGGAGCGGTTCCATGGCATTTGCCAGTGACATGACATTCTGCAGGAAAGCGTCTCTGTGCCGCGTCGTAAATGATACCGGTGTGGTTTACCAACCTTTGTCTTTTGAACCTGCCTTTTCAGAAACGGAATTTGCCTTGAGTGCGCGGGCGGCCAGTGAGCCTTTAACTTCTTGTGCTCAGCCCCGGCCTGCCGGCGCGGAGCACGGCGGCAGGAAACCATTCTCTTCTCCCATTGGGAGCGCGACCCGCCATTCACTAGCGGGCCTTCGGGGCACCCTGATCAGTTTCCTCAGGTTCAGCCAAGGCCTCTGTGGTTCTGCTCTTTCTCAGAAATGAATGAGTAATCTCTGCACCATCTGGGATATGCTAAAACTTTATCTCCGTGCGGGGAGGGGGTGCGATTCATTTACATTGATGCTCTGATTGCTTTTGCCCGCGGAGAACTGATAAGCGATTCCAGCCTTTCAGGAGAGCGTGTCTTGGCGCCCACCGAGGAGCTGCAGGTCGTTGCACTCCTGGCTGTGGTGAAGTCAGTCTTTTCGCACTTTGCCATTGGAGTGGGCGCTATTCAATAACGTGCACCAGTGCCTGCAATCACCCGGAGATTTCCACTGGGCAGGGCGAAACCAGTTCTGTGTGGTTGTTCTTTAGGCTTCATACTTTTAAGCCCTCTAGGTCACATTCGGATTACTTCGCTGATTAATGTAATCTTGGTGGATGCCAGAAGTTCTAGGTGGTGACAGGACTGAAAAGAGTCCGCCCTCCCTCTCCCCTTTTTTCATTGTCATCCTTTCCTTCAGTAAAATTAGTTTTTTTTTCTTCTTCCATAAATGAGGAGGGGAGAGTGGAGAGATAAACCAGCTATTTCAGCATGCTGCATTCCTCTCCAGTTGGGTCAGATGTGGTTAAGTGCAAAGGCATCTCCTGGGAACAAATTAAATGAGGTCAAACTTGGCCAAGCCAGGAGTACAAGAGAATATCGGAAGGTCCCAGTCCCTGAAGGACAGTCAGTGTATTTTAAGATTTTTGAGCCAAATTTTTCCCCATTGTAGCTTGCCAAAAAAGAGGGCAAACTCTTTACATCCTCTTCTCGCCTCTCCACACCCTCTCCCTAGATATCTCTGTGGTCTGCATCTCTTCCACATGTCTTCACAGCCTCCTACCTGACTTCCCTGCTCCCATCTTACCCTGCAGTACCTTCTTGACACAGTAGTTAAGATATATTTTTAAAGTTAGATCATAATACACTCCTGCTTAAAAGTCTCCAAAGGCTTCCCAATCACCCTTAGCAAGAAACCCACGTTTCTCACCACAGCCCAAGAGGTTGACTTGACATAGGCCCTGGGTGGCTCTGAGACCTTCTCCCCTTCCGTGGGCCCAGCCACACTGGCCTCAGACTTGTCTAATATGTTCCATGTTCAGCACCTTTGTCCTCAATGAGCTTCTGCCTATAGCCCTTCTCCCTAGATTTGTATGTAGCTGGCTCCTTCTCTTCATTCAGATGACGGCTTAGTGAGGATTCCCTAACCAGGCTTCTTAAGATAGATACCACCTACTTTCTCCAACTCATCCCTGGGCCAGTTACTCTGCTTTATTTTCTTCTTAATGCTTATGCTTGAAATTTTATTATTTGCTTGTCTATTGTTGTTTGCCACTTTCCTGCCAAAGCTAAATTCCACGAATGTGGAGACCTTGTTGTTATCCCCAGTGCCTAAAATGCTGCCTGGTACATAGCAGGCACTCAACAAGTATTTATTTAATAAATTAAGTCCAAAAGGGTTGTCACATGCTTTCTTGTGTTGGAGGAAGGGGTATCTCAGGCTGGGATTTGGACATTTATTGATTTAACATTCAGTAAATGTAGTATTTGCTGAACATTTTGCTAAGCACCGGTTATAACAGTGAACAAAACAGAGTAGAGTCTCTGATCTTGTGGGGCTTACATTGTATGAAAGAAACTAAAAGTGCTGGGGAAGAGAACAGGGGGCACCCATTTTAGAAAAGGTGCTCAGAAAAGTGTTCTGTGTAGGGGTGCCTTTTTGGTTGAGACCTCAAGGCTTTGTAGGCTATAGGAATAATTTGGGATTCAGGTGAAGGGCAATGGGAAGTCACCAGAGAGAACTAAGAATGGGAGTGATATGATCCAATATATGTCTTAAGATTACTCATGCCATTGAGTGAGGGGTGGATTGGATGGGAGCATTTGTGGAAGAGGAGAGGTACAATTGCAACAATTCATGCTTGCTATTGACCACCAAGGCTAATAGTGATACCAGAGAAAGAGAAGTGTACATTCAAGATATATTTTGGTGTGTAAAGCAGATAGGACTTGCTGATAATTGCTTTTGGGAGAGGATGGAAAGAGATAACTCGGGTTGATAGGTAGTTTTTTTTTTTTCTTTTTTTTTTTTTAAGAGATGGAGTCTCGCTTTGTCACCCAGGCTGGAGTACAGTGGTGCAATCTGGGCTCACACACAGAGTTTTTTATGTTCTCATAAAAAAACTCTGCCTCCCAGGTTCTAGCAATTCTCCTGCCTCAGCCTCCCGAGTAGCTGGGATTATAGGTGCATGTTGCCATGCCCAGCTAATTTTTTTGTATTTTAGTAGAGACGGGGTTTCACTGTGTTGCCCAGGCTGGTCTTGAACTTCTGAGCTCAGGCAATCCACCTGCCTTGGCCTCCCAAAGTGTTAGGATTACAGGCGTGAGCCACCGCTCCCAGCCGATAGATAGTTTTCTTACTTGTTAAACTGGGATGACTGTGACGATGCTATTTAATAGTATGGGTGTAGAATTCTTTAATCATCTGAGTAGCAATCCAAGTTTATCTTCTAGACTTCAGAGAAGGCCACTATAAAATAATGAAAACAGATATATTTTGTTTTACTTTAAAAACTTAAACTTTTTGCCAGGCATAGTGGCTCATGCCTATAATCCAGGCAGTTTGGGAGGCCAAGGTGAGAGGATTGCTTGAGGCCAAGAGTTCAAGACCAGCCTAAGGAAACGTAGTGAGACCCTGTCTCTCTAAAAATATTAAAAAAATTATCCGGGCATGATGGTGCACGCCTGTAGTCCCAGCTACTTGGGAGGCTGAGGTGAGAGGATCACTTAGGCCCAGGATTTTGAGGTTACAGTGAGCTATGATTGTGCCACTGCACTCCAGCCTAGAGAATAGAGTGAGACCCTGTCTCAAAAAAAAAAAAAAAAAATCAGAGTTTTTGAGATAATTGTAGATTCACATGCAGTTCTAAGAAATAACACAGCCCATGTATCCTTTACCCAATTTTCTCCAATGGTAACATCTTACAAGACTATAGTACAATATCACAATGAGGATATTAACCCCAATAGTCAAGTTACAGAACATTCCTATCACCACGAGGATACCTCATGTTGCCCATTTATAGCCCCACTGAATCCCTCTTACCCTTACTCATTCTTAAATCTTGGCAATCACCAATCTATTACATGTCTATAACTCTGTCATTGCAAGAATATTATATAAATAGAATCATATAGTATATGTATTAGAGTTCTCCAGAGAAATAGAAGCAATATAATGTGTGTATATATGGAGAGACTTACTTTAAGGAATTGCTGACATAGTTATGGAGGCTTGGTGAGTTCAATATCTGATGGGAGAAGCTGGTAGGCTGGAGACTCAAGAAAGACTTGCATTTGAGTCTAAAGGCAGTCTGCTGGAAAACCAGGAAGAGCAGATGTTGTACACAAAGTCCAGAGGCAGTCTGCTAGAAAATTCCTTCTTGCTCAGGGATGTCATCCTTTTATTCTATTAGGCTTTCAATGGATTGGATGCGGCCCACTCACATTATAGAGGATAATCTGATTTCCTCAAAATTCACTGGCTTAAATGTAAATATCATCTAAAAACATCTTTACAGAAACATCCAGAATAATGTTTGACAAATATCTGGACACCATGGTTCAGTCAAGTTGACACATACAGTTAAGGATCACAGTATGTAACCTTAGAGATTGGCTGTTTTCACTCAGTGAAATTCCTTCGAGATGCATCCAACTTGTTGTGCATATCGTTAGCTTGTTCCTTTTTATTACTGAGTAATATTCAATGGTATGGATAGATCACAGTTTATCCTTTTACCTTTGAAGGACATCTGGGTTGTTTCCATTTTTTTGCTATTAGAAATAAAGCTAATGTAAGTATTTGTATAAAAAACTCTGCGTGTGAATATAAATCTTTTCTTTGGGATAAATGCAATTGTTGGGTTATATGTGGTAGTTGCTTGTTGAGTTTTTTAAGAAATTGCCATACTGTTTCTAAAATGGCTGTCCCATTTTCCCACCAGCAATAAATGAATGATTCAGTTTTTCTGGCTGGGATTACAGGTGCATGCTGCCATGCCCAGCCAACATTTGATTTTCATTATTTTTTATTTTAGTCATTCTGAAATGTATGTAGTGATATCTTATTGTGGTTTTAATTTGCATTTCTTTAATGGCCAGTGATGTTGGACATATTTTTATTTGCTTATTTGACATCTGTATATTCTCTCTGGTGAAATGTCTTTTGATTATTTGTTAATTGAATTTTTTGTTGTTATTTGGGGTTTGTGCGTGTGTGTGTGTATTTTTTAGTTTTAACAGTTCTTTATATATTTTAGATACTAGTTTTTTGTTGGATATGTGGTTGGCAAGTATTTTCTTTCACTCCATAGCTTGTCTTTTCCTCCTTTTAGGAGGATCTTTCACCACGTAAACAATTTTAATTTTGATGAAGTCCAATTTATAAATTTTTCTTTTTATGGATTTTGCTTTTGGTATCAGATTTAAGAACTTTTTGCCTGGCCCTAGTTTATGAAGATTTTTCTCCTAAGTTATGCTTTGCTTTGCTTCGCTTCTCTTCTCTTCTCTTTTTTTTGACTGGGTCTTGCTCTGTCACCCGGGCTAGAGTGCAGTGGCGCGATCTCGGCTCACTGCAACCCAACCTCCGCCCTCCAGGTTCAAGCGATTCTCCCTGCCTCAGCCTTCCAAGTAGCTGGGATTATAGGCACCTGTCATCACTCCTGGTTAATTTTTTTTTTTTTGGTGTTTTTAATAGAGATGGGGTTTCACTATGTTGATCAGGCTGGTCTTGAACTCCTGACCTCGTGATCTGCCCGCTTTGGCCTCCCAAAGTGCTGGGATTACAGGCGTGAGCCACCGCGCCCAGCCTATTATAGTTTTATATTTTATATGTAAGTCTATGATTCATTTTGAGTTCTTTAAAATATGAGGTATGAGAACTGGGTTGAGGTTCGCTTTTTGCCTGTGGATGTCCAGTTGCTGCAGCACCATTTGTTGAACAGGCTCTCTTTCCTTCACTGAATTGCTTTTGTACTTTTGCTAAAATCAGCTAGGCATTATTTATGTGAGTCTATTTCTGGTTTCTCTTTTCTGTTCCATTGATCTATGTGTCTATCCCTCTGCCAATACCAAGAGTCTTAATTATTGTAGCTATATATAATAAGTCTTGAAATGTGGTAGGCTGATTTCTCTCACTTTATTCCTTTTTTTCTGAAAAAGTTTTTTTTTTACCTTTATAAATTTTAGACAACTTGTATGTATCTACAAAACGTTTTGCTGGGATTTTGATAGGAATTGCATTAAACCTGTATATCAATTTGGGGAGAATTGACATCTTTACTGTGTTGAGTCTTCCAAACCATGAACATACTCTTCATTTATTTAGATCTTTGATTTCTTTTCCCTTTCCTTTCCTTTTTCCTGTTTTTCTTTCACTTTTGTGACAGGGTCTGGTTCTGTCTCCAGGCTGGAGTGCAGTAGCATGATCTGGGCTCACTGCAGCCTCTTGTCTCCCAGGCTCAAGCCATCCTTCCACCTCAGCCTTCCGAGTAGCTGGGACCACAAGTGCGCATTACCACACCTGGATAATTTTTGTATTCTTTTGTCGAAACACATGATTTTGCCATGTTGCCCAGACTAGTTTTGAACTCCTGAGCTCAAGTGATCAGCCTGCCTTAACCTCCCAAAGTGCTGGGATTACAGGTGAACCACTGCGCCCTGCTCCTTTGATTTTTTTGATCGTTTTTTAAATTTTCAACATACCAAGTCTTGTACATGTTTTGTTAGGTTTACACACTTAACTCTTATTTTTCTCAGTGATTTTGTGTTTTTAATTTTGGTATCCACATAGTCACTGCTAGAATATAGAAGTAAAAATCATTTTTATGTGTTCATTGTGTACCCTGAAACCTTGCTGAACTCACTTATTAGTTCTAGAAGTTTTTGATAGATTCCTTGGGATTTTTTATGTAGACAATCATGTCATCCAAAAATAGGGAGAGTTTTATTTGTCCTTTCTGATCTATATGATTTTTATGTCCTTTTCTCGCCTTGTAATATTGGCTACAACATTTAGCACTTAGGTTGAGTACGGATGATGACAGTGGACATTCTTGCCTTGTTCCCAGTCTTAGGGGAAAGCATTTAGTCTTTCTACGTATAATGTTAGTTGTAGGTTTTTTGTAGATGTTCGTTATCAAGTTTAGGGTTTTTCTTTTTTTTTTTTCTAAGAGTTTTTTACAAATCATGAATGAGACTTGAACTTTGTTAAATGCTTTTTCCACATCAACTGATATGATCATGATTTTTCTTCTTTAACCTGTTGATATGGTGAATTACATTGATTGATTTTAAAATATTGAATCAGACTTGTTTCTCTGAAATAAGATCTACTTGCTCATGATATATACTTTTAATATATTGCTGACTTCTATTTGCTAATATTTTGTTAAGGATTTTTACAACCATATTCATGAGGTATATAGTTTTCTTTTTTAGAACTGTCTGGTTTGGCATCAGGGTAATACTAGCTTCATAAAATGAATTTGGGAGTCATCCCTTCTCTTTAATTTTTTGAGGTTGTATAAAATTGATGTTTGGTAGGATTCTCTAGTGAAACAATCTGAGTCTGGAGATTTCTTTTTGGTGGATTTTAAATTACAGGTTCACTTTCTTTAATAGTTAGAAGACTAATAGAGTATCTATTTCATATTGGATGAGTTGCAGTATTTTGTTTTTAAAGGAGAAGTGGTGCATTTTGTGTATGTTGTCAAACTTATATATAGGGTTGTTCCTAGTATTCTGTTATCATTCTTTTGATGTCTGCAGGGTCTGTAGTGATATACTTTGTTATATTCCTGATACTGGTAATTTGTGTCTTCTCTCTTTTTTTGTCAGTCTTTCTAGAATTTTGTAAATTTATTAATTTTTTCCAAAGAACTAGCTCTTTGTTTCATTGATTTTCTCTATTGTTTTTCTATTTTCAATGTCATTGATTTTTGCTTTTGTCTTTATTAGTTCCTTCTGCTTGCTTAGGTTTATTTTGTACCTCTTTTTCTAGGTTCTTGAGATAGGAGCTTAAGTAAGTGATAGAGACTTTTCCTCTTTTCTAGTGTATGCATTTGGTGCTATAATTTTCCCACTTAGCACTGCTTCACACATTTTGACATGTTATATTTCAATTTTAATTCAGTTTACTGTATTTTTAAATTTTCCTTGAGACTTCCTCTGGTCCATGTATTATTTTAGAAGTGTGTTGTTTCATTTTCAAGTGTTTGGAGATTTTCTAGTTGTTGATTTCTCGTTTGATTCCATTGTAGTCAGAGAGAGCACTCTGTATGACTTCAGTTCTTTTAAATTTGTTGAGGTTTGTTTTATGTCCCAGGATATGATTTATCTTTGTATATAGATCATATATACAATATATACAGCAATGGCTCTTGCTGAAGCTTGCCAGGAGACCTTGCCACCCTTTGCTCTCTCAAGGTCCACCTGGAGTCAGTGTTTCACTTCTACCTCTGTGTTCTTCATGCTCTCTGAGCACCTGAAAAGAATATGTATTCTGCTTTTGTTGGGTAGAATGTTCTATCGATGATTAGAGCCCATTAATTGATAATATTTTTTATTTCTTTTACTTCTTTGTTCTAATTGTTCTATCACTTGTTGAGATAAGGGTGTTGAAGTCTACAACTATGATTGTGGATTTGTCTGTTATTGCCAGGTTTAGTTAGAAGTCCAGGTTGTCCATTCAGCCTCCACTGACACCCAGGGTAGGGGAAAGTTCCTCATTAATGCTGGGCAAGGGTGGGACTTCCAGCTCCCCACGTGGCCTCCACTGATACTGTAATGGGGATAGCCTGAGTACTGATGGACAATGGTGAAATTCCTGACTCTCCACTAGGCCTTCTCTGATAGCATTCTTGAGGGAGACATAGGGGTGCTTTGTTACTTTTAGTGGGAGTAGAAGCCCAGGCTCCCCACAATGTTTCCACTGATATCATCGGAGGGGAGCCTTATCCGAATGAGGATGAAAGTTCTGGCTCCCTTGTTGGACACCACCCTGGCAGAGATATTGGGGTGTCTTTGCTACAGCCTCATGAGGGTGGAAGTTTAGGCTCCTTACTTGGTCTTTGATAGGTAGGGGAAGAACCACCATATTTTCTTTGGTGATTGGATGGAATAAAGCAGTTATGGCTAGAAGTTTTCAGCCTTGCTAAATTTTCCCTTTCCCTGTCCTTTGGCTAGGGAGAGCAGGTTTTGAGGGGATTTTTTTGTCTATGCCCAATTAGTATTTCCGGGTTGCTGGATTCTTCAATTCAAAGCCTAGGATATACGAGGCAAAAAGGAAACGCAGGGAATTCACCACTGTTCCTCAGGTCTTGAGAGTCTAGTCAGACTTCTACTCTCCATCTTTCATAGTCTTCTTCTATTTATTTTATATTAACATCCAGGGTTTTTAGTTGTAGTTAGATGAAAAAATAGGGAAAAATATATCTACTCCATCTTCCCAGGAGTGGAAGCCTTGATCCACTTTTAAAAGCCTTTTAGGGAAAGAAACCTAATTAATTACAAATCAAACATGAACAAACAAAAGACCAAATCAAACCAAACTAAGATAAAACAAACAGAAAACCTTTATGGCATTGAATCTAACTTTTCTTGGTGCAGCTTCTTCATAGAAGAATTGAGATGTTGTTGTTTTTCATTCTTTGGTTTTTCGTACATCATATGCAGCAATAATATGTAGGGGAAGGACAATGGGCTAAGGAAGTAGATAATTGTGAGCTCAATACTAATCTCCCTGCCAGTGCTAGATGATTAGATACCAACTGCCTACTGAACATTTTTACTTGAATGTCTAGTAGGTACAATCACAATTTTATCATAAATAAACAGAACTCTTGCTCCCTCCATTTTCTATCCTGAAACTGCTTCCTCACAAGCTTTTTCTAGTTTGTTAAATGGCACCAACAATTATTCCAAATCAGGTACTACAGCCAATCCACTATACCTTCAGAAAAGTTCTGTTCACTGTACCTTCCAGATATACCCTGAATCTGACCACATCTTACCATCACCTTAGTTCAAAAGCCTTGAGTATCGCAATAATCTTCTAACTCCTCTCCTGTCTCAACTCTTGCTTCCCTTCAGTTTATTTTCCTCATAATTGTCAGAGGATGTTGAAAAAAATAAATTAGGAAACACTTCCCTGCTTACAGTTCTTTGCTTTTTATATAAATGAGAATAAATCAAAATGCCTAACTTTACAAGGCCTGAGCGATTTGATTCCTTGCTTACTTTTCTAATATCTCCTTCTACCTTCACCTTTGTTCATCTTGCTGCAGACTCCCCATTGCTTTTGCATACCCAGTTAGCTTCCCTCTGTCTGGAACACTCTTCCAGGATGAATGCCTCATTGTCTTAATTTAGGTCTTAATTCAGATATTTGCCCTTTAGAGAGGCCTCTATGACCACCCTAGCTTAAGACAGCACCCTTTCTCCAGTCACTTCTATCATAATTACCCTACTGTGACTTTTTCATTGCATTTATTAGTATCTGAGATCATCTTATTCGTTTCCATGTTTATTTTTGTTCTCCCCACCCCCAGTACAATATAAGTTCTTTGAAGAATAGTCTCTATCTATTATGCTCACTGTTGTGTTCTTAGCCCCTGTGATCTTACTGGTACACACAGTAGGTGCTCATAAAAGATTTACTTATTGACTTCAGGGGTTTCCTGGGAGTGTTACATTTGTTGGTTAATTCATAGTTATGCAATATACAAAATTTGCCAGAATCCCTTTCTACTTTATAATGGAGTAGTTTGTCTGGGTTTCAATCCCAGTTCCATCATGTTTAGCTAATTAAAAATCTCTCTGATAAGAGTTTCCTTATCTGTAAAATAGGGCACCTAACAGTGCCTCCTTCATAGGATGATAAGGGTTAAATGAGTTAGTACATGTAAAGTGTCTTGAATGCTTGGAACAGTGCCAGGCCTGTAATAAGTATTTGCTGCTGTTATTATTAGTACTAAATGTAGGCTACGTTTCATTAAAGGGCACCTTCATTTTAAAAGTTTTCAATAAGAACACTGGAAAAGCAAATGGATCTGAAGAAAAGATGGTTCAGGAATTCCCTGACCCTGGTCAAAATATTGGAAACTACAGTATTTATTTCCTTTTTAATCAATGACAGAATTTGTCTCAGGAAGCAGTTAAAACACAATCTCTTGCCTACTGTGAGAGAAGGGAAAGAAGATTCAATTAATTAGTACAGACTTCCCACTGAGGGGTTACTAATGAGCAACTTCAAACCTTGGAAGAGCCTATAGGACCTCAGCATCCTCCCACTATAGCATTTGTCCAACGGTGAAAGATTCTGATGTTATCTTCAACACTTAGACAAACAGCCAGCAAGGCCAGTGGCAGCTTCACCAAGGAGCCAGGAGATGGAAAGTAAGCAACACCCAAATTCCTACCACCTCTTTCTAAACTGTTGAGCACCTACCATACTTCAGAACTTCACACGCATTGTCATTTTATCCCCATAACACCGTATGAGTAAGATAGTACTCTTATTTCCCAGAGAAGACCATGGGACAACATTTAAGGATCTGTCCCAAAGTTCTATGGCTAATCATTGGCAAAGCTGCGATTATCCATTCAGCCCTTCAACAAATATTTATAGATTATCTTTTATGTGCCAGGACTAGAGATAGCAGTGAACCAATCACATAAGATTCCTGTCTTTCAGGAATTTACATTTAATAGGAATGGGGATCCATGTTTTAGAGCCTATGCTAAGAGCACCTCAAATTTTCCCAAATGGTAACCTATGGGAGATGAAATGGGAAATTGACAGTGGAAATTGACAGAAATATATTGGAGCAGTTAACGGCAACCATAGCAGCCACCAATATTTATTGAACACTTCCTAGGTACCAGTTCTTGTAGGCTGTAGTGACAACTGGGAAGGAAATAGACACAACCCCTGTGCTCATAGAACTTTCCAAAAATGTTGGCAAACTTAATTGCTTTACAAGGCCAGGCAGGTAATATAAAGGATTAAAATGCCTACACACTATATTCTTTCAACAGAGATATGCTTTGTTTATTAAACGACTACACATACTCTGCTTTTTCAAAGAAATATGCTTTTATTCTTAAAATGCAAGGCTTTTCTTGGTCTATCTTTTGTTTTCCTAATTTCATTGGAGACATTCCATCTCATTTTCCTCTTTACTATGGGTAAAACAGCAGCACACATATGGTGATGAAAGGCAGCTGACACTTGGCCTCAGCCTCACAGAGTAAGAGAGAGATGTTGGCTTTGTGACAAACTGGAGAGGCTGCTGCTCCCTCCTTCTGAGGTGGTGCAGTTGGTACCCAATCCAGATGGTTTTACCATCCAAGACCAGGAGATTTGTGTTGCCAGAGCAAATGAAAGCCATAAGTGAATGGTGAGTTGATTATTTTGGATTCTCCCAGAACAGGTGAACCTAAGACAAAAAGAAGGAGAAAATCTGAGGGGGGTGGGTGTTTAAAGGCAGGAATTGTCTGAGCATGTTCTCTTTCCCTGGAATCCTCCAAGGATGGCTCTAGGGCTATAGATTCTAGAAACGATTCATACCTTATAATCTAGATTTTCTAGTCCATGTTATTTACTAAGTGTGTTTTCCTTCTGTTATCCCTATTCCTCTAGAAAAGCTTCCAGGGGGAACTAAGAGATGAGTCAATGCCCACACCACAGGGCTAAAGGGAGAAGCCGAGGGTCCAGTGTCAGGATGGTGAATTTTTGGAGACTTGAGTTAGTGCTGTAGTTCTAGCCACCTCACCTCATGTGGGGACTCTTGCTTTATTGCTAATTTGGGGGATGTGGGTTTATTTATTTATTATTGACTGATTGACAGCCAGGCTGGAGTGCAATGGCACAATCATGGCTCACTGCAGCCTTGAACTCCTATGCTCAAGTAATCCTCCCATCTCAGCCTCCTGAGTAGCTGGGACTACAGGCTCACACCACCACACCTGGGCAGTGAAACACCTTATTTTTTTTTTTTTTTTTTTTGTAGAGAAGGGATCTTTCCAGGTTGCCAAGGCTGGTCATGAACTCCTGGGTTTAAGTGATCCTTCTGTCTCAGCCTCCCAAAGTGCTGGGATTATAGGCATGAGCCACCGGGCCTGGCAGATGTGGATTTATTTTTAAGGGAGCCTGTAGGCTTATTTCAAACAAAAGTAGGAAGCTTTTAAGCAGGGAATTAAGAACAAGTGATGTGAAATACAAAAATCTTGATTCTCCCATCCACATTCACTTGGGTATTCCCACATGCAGTAAAAGATTCCTGAAAGTCCAAGTCTTTCAGATTCAGTGTAGTTGCACTGAAACAAATTACTAGAACCATGGTTTTTCGTGTGTTGTTATGTTAATGATGATTCTCATAACACTAATAATTCTATAGACTTTCACACTTATAATAAATGCTATCTCATGGGATTCTCACAGTATACTCTGAAATAGGTATTATTCTCATTTTGTAGGTGAGGAAACTGGTATTCAAAATAGTTTAGTGATTTGTTCAATGTCACATGATTAGATAGTGTCAAAGTTCCATATAAGCCCACATGTATGACTTTAGATCTTTCTGCTATATATCACTATCTTTGTTACTGTCTGGAAGCCAGTTATAAAGATTATCCTTCATGTGATCCACACCACAGTGAATGTTTGGCTCTCTATGCATTTATATACTGTTGTTATCTGAATTACAAAACAATTAATAACTGGATTCTTGATCATTATAGGTGGAAATAGACAATTGTTTAAACTACAAAATCATGAACATGTTTTCCACCAGATCTTCCTCTTTTCCCAGTCTCACCCACAATCCAAACAGAAATTTACCTGTTGTATGTAGCTACTCATACGCTAAGAATTCCTATGATATCTTTCCATGAGGAAAGATAAAATGAGGACTTTATTGAATGCATTAAAGTGGTGCACTTGAGATGATACAGTTTTAGAAGACACTGCTTTTGAATAAAGATAAATTAGTGGCAACAAAATGTTTCAAATGCAAGCCTTAATTAAACTTTGTAAGTCTAAGCAATGTAAGCCAGTTGGGCCAATAATAATTAGATCCTTATTTCTTTTCTTTTTTCTTTCTTTCTTTGTTACTTTTTTTTTTTTGAGATGGAGTCTTGCTCTGTCACCCAGGCTAGAGTACAGTGGCACACTCTGGGCTCACTGCAATCTCCGCTTCCCAGGTTCAAGTGATTCTCCTGCCTCAGCCTCCCGAGTAGCTAGGACTACAGGCATGTGCCACCATGCCTGGCTAATTTTTTATAGTTTTAGTAGAGATGGGGTTTTACCGATGGTCTCAATCTCCTGACCTCATGATCTGCCTGCCTCGGCCTCCCAAAATGCTGGGATTACAGGTGTGGGCCTTCCAAAGTGCTGGGATTACAGATGTGAGCCATTGGGTCCGGCCAATTAGATAGATCCTGATTTCTTAGAGTAGATCTTAGGGATAAATAAGCCAATAACAACTAAAGCGTGAGCTTTGATGTGTAGACTTGAGGGATAGGATTTGGTAAAGAGAAGATAACTTGTCTGACAGTAGTGTGAATGTGAGTTGGGTGGGGCACTGGGTGGAAGGGGAGAGAGAAAGGACACCAAAAAGAATGGAGGTTGGGTCTCTGGGAGAGCCTGCTGATGCTGGCATATTGTTTCGTGTAGGTGACACTCTGGGACTTATACTGACCTCTTGGAGTTCCCCCAGCAGCGAACCTTGGTAGGGGTCCAGGGAGGTGAAGTTGTGGTCCGAGAGCATCATGAGCTGTATCTCTAGCCACATCCATGCAGTGGGGAGCCTGCTAGAACCTTAGAGTGTCCTGTGCTGGAACTAAGAGGGGAGAACATGGAGCTGGTTGTTGATACCAATTCTGTCTGTGGCCCCCAATAAATAGGCCTGTTTCCTTTATTTCTTCCCCCCTGCCCCACCTCATTTTAAACTTACCTAGAATTGAGTCAATTCATTGGAACTATGTAGGTGGATTACTAAGGAATTCATGGATTCTTCTGGCTATCTTAGTGGTCACCTGGACAGACTCAGACAATAGAAGGTGACTAAACCCGATTTACATAAGAGGCCCCTGAGATCTCTCTTTCTCTCTTTTTAAAGCAATCTGGTGATTTTAATGTATGTAAATCTACTTTAATAAAAATTAAATAATTATTAATGTTTTGAAGGCTTAAATGGGAGGTTATATCTTATAGACAAAATAAAAATAAACAAGTGAAAACATTTAGAAAATGAGAAATCCAGGAGCTGTAATATGTGAATAATACAATAATAGATGCAGAATGCAAAGACAGAATATAAAGAGAAGTGATGATTACAGCAAGGGAAAAATAAGGAAATAAAAAGACTTGACTCTTCTTTACTCTAAGGAACAACATGCATCTCCGGATATAAAAGTATTTTCTGAGTCTTATGCTGGCTGGCTGGCTTGCTGGCTTGCTGAATGAATGCATATATACTTATATACATACATACACAGAAGACACAAACCTAAGGCTGATCTGGTAAATGATGCAAATCCAAATTAAGAAATTAAGTCTTATAATGTTCTATATAAAGAGGGCATATTACATGGGAAGAGAAGCAAGAAAATTTTTTCTCCCCCATGGTCTCAGTGTAGCTTTATTGAAAATTAAGTCACAAATTACAACACTCATTGGGGAAGATTTGCCTTCCTCTCAATTACAGTTAATAGAAGAAAATTAATGTAGCAATTAATGTGGCCTTTATTAAGGGCCACAGCTTAATAAAGGTTTGCTATTCCTGTGTTTAAACTCTTGGGCCATAACTTACATAAGAAACACACAAAAAATAGATTGCTTAACATTTTAAGCGTTCTAGTTATTTTCACACATGCCATATTTATTGAAAAGGACAGAATACATTGAATTTTACAGTATATTAAACTTCATCTAATTTGAACGTAAGACTGGCAAAATAAATGACCAACTTCTGAAACAGAAATTACTATTTGATTAGTGCCATTACAGAGCTGCTGGCATTTTATCATGTTCTTTTAAAAAAAATGTAGTAAGAACACTTAACAGGAGGTCAATCCTCTTAACAAATTTTTCAGTGTACACTACATTATTGTTGACTATAGATTCTGTGGGCCCTCTTGAGCACATCCCAAAGGCAGACCTCTGTCCACCAGGTGCAAGGCAAAGGAAGCAACCCTGGTCTCTGCGACTGTCATGGAAAGGGGTGGTGACTCCAGCTTTCCACTGACCCACTGTGGGGCTACAGGTACCAGATGGAAAACTACCTAATAGCTTATATATGAGTAGGTGCCGTTCCTACCTTTTAATTACTTCTCCTTTCCAAAATATTTACTTCATTTTAATAGCAAATTAAACACAAATACATGAGGCCATTCTCACTGGGAAAATTTTATAAAGTACAGATAAAACTAAAATGAACCTCTGTTGCCCCCTTGACAAGATGCATCCTCAGAGGTCATCTCTGTTTTTGGTTTGGTGAGTATGTTTCCAATTCACCATCCTCTTTGAACTTTCTGGACTTGTTTCACTGGTTTCTGTTATGATGAGGTTTTTATTTCATTACTTCACAAGAAGCTTCCTATTAGTTTGCTCTTCTCAGTACGCCATGAAGTCTGTATACAAGTGATGTCCAATTCCTCAGTCCAAGCTCAGATGTCTGAATACCCTTTCCCAGCACCCTTGCTTGTTTAAGAGACAGCATGAGAAAAAGATCAGCTGTGTTACTCCTTCTTCCAGGCCAGATGATTCTGGTTGACTCCCTTACCTTGTGGACTATGGCTTTGGAAAGGAAGAAGTGTACCCTTCTTAGAATGGTTTTATATCTCTTCTGAACCCAAAGCATCTTGTAAAATGGAGTTCATATTCACGAGGGTTTGGAGCACTAGACTAGGGTCAAGAGACCTGGTTTTGTCCTCCCTCTGCAAGGGTTGGGCTATTTGATTATGGGAAAGTCTTGCTTAACCACTCTGCTCTTTATCTGTAAAACAAAGTAAATAATCTCTAAGTGTCCTCACTTGCAAAATGGGGATAGCATCTGATTCATGGGATTGCTGTGAGGATTAAATATGATAGTGGGGATATATTGCTTAGGACAAAGCCCAGCACATAGTAATTACCTGTAAATATCAGCTGTTATTGTTTTTCTGCTCTGTTTCCATGATTCTTTGTTCTTAATTTAACATCCTCTCCAAAAATTAATATGGGGTCCTGTGACCCTCTGGGGTGACTAGCCAGGCGACCTCTACTATTTTTTTTTTTTTTTTGTCCTGGAGCTTATGATATTTGGCAATAAAGGCAGTTTTCATTAAAGGAGCTAGGGGCCACTTACTGAGTGGTCAGTCCCCTGGATTTGTACTATTATGTCGTGGAGGTTTGACAATCTGTGGCAAATTCCTTTGACACGTGTATCTATGGCAGTGTTTCAGCAAACACTGTCCTAATTAAGTAATCACAGGGCGGTTCAATCTAAATTGAATGGTGCTGCTTCATGCAGAAAATTTTTGTTTGCAATACTTGAGTCATCTCAGTTTAAATTAAATCTATTAAGATTCTCTGTCTAACCATTTTTCAAACTCCTGACCTCGTGATCCGCCTGCCTCGGCCTCCCGAAGTGCTGGGATTACAGGCATGAACCACCACGCCCGGCCTCTAACCATTTTTCAATCAAATGTGCCGAAATGACCACAAGTGCTCTGCAGGTCATCTTTCTGAGTTTGTGTGTCTTTAATGTCTGTGGGTTAATCATTTTCAGATAGTGTTTGTGCTATTTTCCACCACTGCCTTCTATACCAGTTACTGCTGATTTGCAGGGTGCTGAGGGAGGCTTATGAAGTTGACATAAAAAGTGGGATCGAAGATCATGAGGTTATTGTTGAGGTTTAACAAACAATGTTGGTCCATGTTGTTGACCAATAGGTCACCAATAAAAGAAGCAGTGTCAGGGAGAAGCGATTCTTGTGTTAGCTGTTTGTCAGACACAGAGGAGTTCCAGGAATGTACTGTAACAAGCAGATGGTGCAACTCGGTGGTGGACAAGTTGTTGACTCAGGCATTCTGGCTCTTTTCAGAGACATTGAGAGTCAGTGGCAAGACTAGTAAAAGTAAGACAAAATAGAATTTCCCTCTCCCTTACACCTTAAAGTCACCTCCTCTGTTGGAGCAGAGCAAGTGGATTTGATCAAGTACTTTGTGGTGGATGGTGGGGAGAGGAAGCAGTCCTTTCCTTTTTTTCAGTGATTCAAATTAGAGTAAAAAATTGGCCAGGCGCGGTGGCTCATGCCTGTAATCCCAGTACTTTGGGATGCCGAGACGGGCGGATCACGACGTCAGGAGATGGAGACTATCCTGGCTAATACGGTGAAACCCCATCTCTACTAAAAATACAAAAAAAAAAATTAGCCAGGCGTGGTAGTGGGCACCTGTAGTCCCAGCTACTCGGGAGGCTGAGGCAGGAGAATGGCGTGAACCCTGGAGGCGGAGCTTGCAGTGAGCCGAGACTGTGCCACTGCACTCCAGCCTGGGCAACAGAGTGAAACTCCGTTTCAAAAAAAAAAAAAAAAAAAAAAAAAAATGAAGGCCACTTGGGGCTGTGGTCTCTGAGCGCTCTAAGTTCCTTGTAGATATGCAATGTTGTGCTTTCAGGATAGTAAAAGAACACAGCAAGGGTAAGGGGGTAGGTCTGTGGCTTTATGCTAAAGGGCAAAGAAAAAGAAATATTCTAGGCCGGGCGCAGTGGCTCACGCCTGTAATCCCAGCACTTTGGGAGGCCGAGGCGGGCGGATCACGAGGTCAGGAGATCGAGACCATCCTGGCTAACATGGTGAAACCCCATCTCTACTAAAAATATAAAAAGTTAGTCCGGCGTGGTGGCAGGCGCCTGTAGTCCCAGCTACTCGGGAAGCTGAGGCAGGAGAATGGCGTGAACCCGGGAGGCGGAGCTTGCAGTGAGCTGAGATTGCGCCCCTGCACTCCAGCCTGGGCGACAGAGCGAGACTCTGTCTCAAAAAAAAAAAAAAAATTCTGAGTGTTCCCATAGGTAAGTATCTGTAGTGACATTCTATTCTAGTTCATCTGTGGTGATTATAGCCCCAGCCAGGACACAGCCCTAACATTAAAGCATACCTGATCTTTCGTTCCCTTGACAGAGCACCCAACCTAACTCATGCAGTGTCCTTACAGATTTCTTGCTAAGTGAAAATTCACGTAGCATTATAATCCATTAATTTGCTACTGCAGAGCCAGCTCTGACAAGGAGATAACTGCTCCAGATGCCAAAGCACTGAAAGATTGTTGTTTGAAAAGTTTATTGGGTAATGAAATAGAAAAGCATCTCAAATGCCAGATGCACAAGGTAATGTTTTGTCTGATTGTCATTGTTAACTCCCGCTAGGGCTATAGTTGGAATGTTAGTGGGAATGTAGGACGAATAAACAGGTTAGGGAAGAAACCATGGCTTTGCCACAGAAACTTGATAGGTTAGGCTAAATTTGAGTCTAAAGATGGGTGTTCTTTCATTGAGGTACAGTTATATTGATTTATAGATTATATATATTGATTTATATATTGCTTTTTTTTAACCATTAAAGCTTAAGGAAGCAGTTCAATACAGGTCAAAATGTATATAATAGGAATATAAACACAAAAGTACCAGATGGAAATATGCATCAAACAACAGACAGCCAATAAAAAGTAATTTGGCTTTTTAAAAAGGGGAAGAAGGGACAGTATGATTATGAGTGTTGAGAGTGGCATAGGCAACAAGTGTATGGGTGTATATCTATATCTATAATCTATTTTTCTCTCTAGATATATATTGTACATTAGTTAAACAGGGGTGTCCAATCTTTTGGCTTCCCTGGGCCACATTGGAAGAATAATTGTCTTGGGCCACACATAATATACACTAATGATAGCTGATGAGCTAAAAAAAAAATCGCAAAAAAAAAAATAATGTTTTAAGAAAGTTTATGAATTTGTGTTGGGCGGCATTCGAAGCCATTCGGGGCTGCAGGTGGGACAAGCTTGTTTTAAAACTAACAATGATATTCTTTTTACGTAAGTATTTTCTAAACTTTCCCTTGGATTTTATGGGCATATTATAAGAACAACTATGTACGAAGTTTACAAAGATCTGATCTGGAAACACAGCACAATTGTGAGGCAGGCAGGAATGATCTCATTACCCCTACTTTAGAAAGAAGAAAACAGATGCTTGGAGAGCGATTTGTTTAGGGTCATCAAGCTCTGACTTAAGATTTTATTCTTCCATATATTTCAGGAATAATGTCCCACTTCTTAACTTTCTCTTTTTCACTTTATTTTCACCTTTTCTTTTAGTTAAAGGCCAAGGAACAGCCTTTCCCAGGGTGCTGTCACTGACATTTACACCCTTGATTTTAATGTCTTAGGGACTAAATGCTCTTTGGTGAGATGCTATTCAGGTTTTCTTTATTTCAAAGAAGAGTCATTATTCTTCATCCAGTCATTATTATTGGAGTAGTTCAGTAGAAAAAACACTAGACTGGTAATCAAAAGAGCCGGCTTCTTATTTAGATTCCACAACTCCCCAACCCAAGTTCTTGAGCAAGTTATTTCTCTCCTAGTCTCCATGTCTCCATTCATAAAAGGAAGCAGTTAAACAGGATGAGCTCTAAATTAAAATTAAAATTAGGGAGAAAAAATTTAAAATATGATGAAAAATAATTAGCATACCTGATTAAAGCATAATTAGAACATGCAAGGAATAGATAAAACCAATGAAACAAACCAAAAACTTAAGAGTAAAAAAGAACTTAAGTATAGATTAAAAACTTATAGATAGGGTGGGTGCGGTGGCTCATGCCTGTGATCCTAGCACTTTGGGAGGCAGAGGTGGGTGGATCGCCTGAGGTCAGGAGTTTGAGAGCAGCCTGGCCAACATGGCAAAGCCCCGTCTCTACAAAAATTAGCCGGGCATGGTGGCAAGTGCCTGTAATCCCAGCTACTCAGGAGGCTGAGGCAGGAGAATCGCTTGAACCCGGGGGACGGAGGTTGCAGTGAGCCAAGATCGTGCTGCTTCACTCCAGTCTGGGTCTAAGGGCGAAACTCCGTCTCAAAAACAACAACAACAACAACAACAACAACAACAAAAACTTATAGATAAAATGTGAATAAAAAGAGGAAAAGGGTTAAAAACAGGTAACATACAAAGGTGAGTTGAGAAATTTAAGCATAAAATACTCAAAGAATAAGGAAAGTGAAGTATGAAGAATTCAAAGTCACAAAGAAGTAGGAATTGACAGCTATCAAATAAGAGAGAAAGGCAAAAGCAAGTGCAAAACAGTAAATAGCTAAGCCAAAAGAAATCAGAAGAAGACATGTATAAAAAATAAGTGTTAGTAAATAAGTAGTAATAAATTTTATCTCAACCTAAGACTAAGAGACAATAAAAAGGATGGTAAAAATAAATGTTTGAAAATCAAAAGGGGGTAAACATGAAAAAAGAAAAACAGTTAAAAGCAATATAAGTAAGCAAAGTATATGAAAATAAGGCAGAAATGATAGCAATAAAATGTGCCTTTCAGGGAGGTTTTTTTTTTTTTTTAAAGATATTTCAAGAAAAAAAGAAGAAAATGATCTGCCTACAAGAGCAAGTAGGTGTCATGTGTCCTTAGCAGTCTTCTGAGCAGAGGTAACATGTTGCAGTATAGAATCTCTGAGGAAACTCAGGCCTGTGATGGACAGCAGAGCTCCCAGCTGCCAGGAGGGGTGTGCCCCGCAGGATGAAGCCCATCCAGGAGGTTTAAGTGTAGATGAGGAGCAAAGTCAGTGGGCCAGATGGCCCCAGTGGCTGGTCCAGCAGACTCTAGCCTTTCTTCTAAAAGCACTACTTGGGACAAACGATGGCCACTAAGATGCCTGTACAACATGAGAAAGAGGTGGTTGTTTGGACACACTTTTGATGTCTATATAGGCTGGAAAAATGCAGAATTGTTCAGAGCAGAAGGAAAAACTCCAGACGTGTAGTCTTCCTTCAAATTTGTGATTGCGGGTTGTCTAGGACTGTGGGCATCAAAATGACATTCCTGCTCACAGCAGGATGGGGATGGTCGAGAAGTTTGCCTTAGTAACAAGCACTCAGGTGATTCGTATGATCAGAAAAGTTTAGGTTAGTAGGACCACACAATAGCTTCATGCATCAAAGCCGAGGTTCAGTAAGGACATTTGAAGGATTAGTTCTACAGGAAGCAACTAAAAAGATGTCCAGAATTATATGCACGAAATGATTCACTCACGGGGAAAGAAGTTGGGGAGTGGGGGTGAGGTGGGGAGCTACCATACCAACATATGGTAATTTTGGCCATTCCTAACAAATGGTGTTACAAACGTTGCCCACCAGAGGTCAGGCCCGGCTGAATCAGGAAAGCCCTGTGGCATATGTCAGGAGGTTGGGCATAGGAGTCAAGAGAGAATGCTATACGTTGTTCAATTGAGTTTAAGCCTGAGGATACCTCTGTGCTTGAGGCTTTACATGGCAAACTGAAACCTGGTTTTGTACATAGATTGACTGAAGGCCTATCTTAGGAATATACTCTTGTAACACGTGGCTGAATCTTAGGCAATCACAGCAGTTTAATTTCAACTGATTGGCCACCAGCTGATTCAAGTAAGGAAAAACACTTGGTAAGCTGTCACTGTTGTTTTCTGTCCATAATGTCATCTGACCAGTTTGCAGGCCCAGAGTTCTTTGAACCTGTTCTGGTCTTGAGTGAGGGCTGCCCAATTCTAAAACTGATAATGAAAGCCAATTAAGATCTTTAAACTAAATTTGTTGTAATGTTGTCTTTTGACAACATTCATGTAGTCAAATTTCCTGCTCCACTAGCACTTTCTCTAGCCATATTGAATGATTTCCCATTTCTGTACCCACATGCTCTTCCACTCCTCTGTGCCATTGTTCAAGTCTCTCCCTCAGGCTGGAAAGCCTCTCTCTTTTTTTTCCTCTCCCAATGTCTTATGAAGGCCATATCCCTTCATTTTTGTCCCATGCAATCCTTGAAATCCTCTATCAAATGACTGACTCTGTTCTTTGTCATTATCTCTGTTCATGTCTCCTGCCTTCCTCATGTCCCCTGCAACCTAGGGAGATCGTTTCTCCATCACCTCTTTCTGCCTCAGCATCCAGTATGAGGCCTGTTATAGAATAGACAGCTGATAGATAAATGGCTACTTTGCTTTCCTTCACGTAGATAGTACATACTGCTTTAGTGGCTCCTCAGAAGCCAGATTATAGCTGCCTCAAATGTTTTAAAAAATAAGATGGCATATAAACAGGTAAAAAAAAAAATACGATGATGATATTGAATTCTCTGACATCTAAAGGTGATAAGGGCAGCCATATTAAAATGAGCTGAAACAATGACCATTAACATGTTATCCACATTAAAACGTTGCCATAAAACACAACCAAAACAAAAAGGGGATTCTCAGGGAAAATATTGACAGTTAAAAATTTTCCAAACCATGGTCTAAGACCAGGGATTGGGTGATATATCAAGAGGTCCAACACCCCATCTGTATACCAGGCATTGTTTGTAGCCTAAATAAATGATTCATATGTATAGTAATTATTTTAAAAATGAATGTGGCTTATAAAATGCAGCTTTATTTAAAACTGTTACTAAACTTTTTGTTGCTTTTCTGTTTCTGAGGTAGATAGGAGGTGAACTCATCATACTTTTAAAAATTGGGAATGAATTCTTTTGGTAAATGAGGTGACTAGGATGCAGTTAGCTTATGACTTCTGAGTTTCGCTGTGTCGTCTGTTTCACAGCATATCCACTGTGATGGCACTAAAGCCTATAGAGCTTTCTTAAATTCCACTTACTTGATGAAGCCAGCAAAATAAATATAAATCATGGACATTAGGCAGGGTGTCTGCTTTGTTTCCAGTGCTGGGTGATGCTCTTGGGTTTTTTCCTATCAATTTTTGAGATGGGCAGTATATTTCTATACTGAAATAAGGTCTGGACTTTTGTAAAAGTTCTCTACAGCAGTTGTTACCATATATTTTTAGATGTTACTAGCTAGGAAAAATTTCAACAAGAAAACTGAAGTCTCCACCACTGATATGGTTTGGCTGTGTCCCCACCCAAGTCTCATCTTGAATTCCCATGTGTTGTGGGAGGGACCTGATGGGAGGTGATTGAATCATGGGGACAGGTCTTTTTTGTACTGTTCTTTTGATAGTGAATAAGTCTCACAAAATCTGATGGTTTTAAAATGGGAGTTTCCCTGCACAAGCTCTCTTCTCTTGTCTGCTGCCACGTGAGATGTGCCTTTTGCCTTCTGCTATGATTGTGAGGCCTCCCTAGCCATCTGGAACTGTAAGTCCAATAAACTTCTTTCTTTTGTAAATTGCCCAGTCTTGTGTATGTCTTTATCAGCAGCGTAAAAATGGACTAATAGAATAAATTGGTACCAGTAGAGTGGGGTACTGCTGAAAAGATACCCCAAAATGTGGAAGTGAGTTTGGAATTGGGTAACAGGCAGAGGTTGGCACAGTTTGGAGGGGCTCAGAAGACAGGAACATGTGGGAAAGTTTGGAACTTCCTAGATACTTGTTGAATGGCTTTGACCAAAATGCTGATAATGATATGGACAATGAAATCCAGGCTGAGGTGGTCTCAGATGGAGATGAGGAACTTGTTGGGAACTGGAACAAAGGTGACTTGTTGTTTTAGCAAAGAGACTGGCAGCATTTTGCCCCTGTCCTAGAGATTTGTGGAACTTTGAATTTGACTGAGATGATTTAGGGTATTTGGCTAAGCAGCAAAGCATTCAAGAGATGACATGGGTGCTGTTAAAGGCATTGAGTTTTAAAAGGAAACAGAGCATAGATGTTCAGAAAATTTGCAGCCTGACAATGCAATAGAAAAGAAAATCCCATTTTCTGAGGAGAAATTCAAGCCCGCTGCAGAAATTTGCCTAAGTAATGAGAAGCCAAATGTCAATCCCCAAGACAATGGGGAAAATGTCTCCAGGGCATGTCAGAGACCTTTGGGGCAGCCCTTCTTATCACAGGCCCAGAGATTTAGGAGGAAAATATAGTTTTGTGGGCCAGGCCAAGGGTCCCTCTGCTGTGTGCAGTCTAGGGACTTGGTGCCCTTCGTCTTGTGACTAAAAGAGGCCAAAGTACAGCTTGGGCTGTTACTTCAGAGGTTGGAAGCCCCAAGCCTTGGCAGCTTCCATGTGGTGTTGAGCCTGTGGGCACACAGAAGTCAACAGTTGAGGTTTGAAATCCACCTAGATTTCAGAGGATATAAGGAAACACCTGGATGCCCAGGCAGAAGTTTGCTGCAGGGGTGCGGCTGTCATGGAGAACCTCTGCTAGGGCAGCGTGGGAGGGAAATGTGGGGTCAGAGCCCCCACAGAGTCCTTACTGGGGCACCACCTAGTGGAGCTGTGAGAAGAGGGCCACCATCCTCCAGACCCCAGAATGGTAGATCAACCAATAGATTGCACTGTGCGCCTGGAAAAGCCACAGACACTCAATGCCAGCCCATGAAAGCAGCTGGGAGGGAGGCTGGACCCTGCACAACTACAGGAGTGGAGCTGCCTAAGATCATGGGAACCCACCTCTTGCATCAGCATGACCTGGTTGTGAGACATGGAGTCAAATGACATCATTTTGGAGCTTTAAGATTTGACTGCCCTGCTGGGTTTTGGACTTGCATGGGACCTGTAGCCCCTTTGTTTTGGTCAATTTCTCCCATTTGGAATGACTGTATTTACCCAATGCCTGTACCCCCATTGCATCTAGGAAGTAACTAACTTGCTTTTGATTTTACAGGCTCATAGGTGGAAGGGACTTGCCTTGTTTCACATGAGACTTTGGACTGTGGACTTTTGAGTTAATGCTGACTTAAGACTTTGGGGAACTGTTGGGAAGGCATGATTTGTTTTGAAATGTGAGGACATGAGATTTGGGAAGGGCCTGGTGCAGAATGATATGGTTTGGCTGTGTCCCCACCCAGATTTCATCTTGAATTCCTATGTGTCCTGGAAGGGACCTGGTGGGAAGGGAATGAATCGTGAGGGCAGGTCTTTCCTGTGCTGTTCTCGTGATAGTAAGTCTCTCAAAATCTGATGCTTTTAAAAATGGGAGTTTCCCTGCACAAGCTCTCTTCTCTTGTCTGTTGCCATGTGAGACGTGCCTTTCACCTTGCACCATGATTGTGAGGCCTCCCCAGCCACGTGGAACTGTAAGTCCAATAAACCTCTTTCTTTTGTAAATTGTCCGGTCTCGGGTATGTCTTTATCAGTAGTAATGAAATGGACTAATAATACACCCACTCAACCCCAAATCTTGTGAAGAACAACAAAACTGTCAACTTTTAATTTTGCCAAACTAGAGCATTTAATAAAATAGCCATTTATTATCAGCATCAGCTCTCAAATACATTGTAACACTAAAATGAGGGCACACCATCTCCAAATAAGACGATCTTTAAATGAGCTTTTATACAAAACTCACTATGCTGTCCTTTTTGGTCATTTTTCCTTGGACTAATGATAACTTTGGCCTGAGCTGGCTAGGCTTCCAATTATGAATGTGGCTATTCTAGTGAGAAGGAATGAGATGGGGGAAGAGTATCAAGTTGACCTGAAGGCTATGCTGTTTCTTTCTGCTCCAGTGATGCCTTCTAGCTCTAAATCCTTCAATTTTTCAACTGCCATCTCTCTTATTAAATGGGTTTAATAATAAAAGATAACCTGAGATCCATGGAGCACTGGGTACAGTGCTGAAAATGTTCATCAGACCGTGATGCTGCTGATCCCTGCCCTCATGACTATGGGTAAATTAACATTGAACTTTGGACATGAAGATGACTAATTTTTGGAGGGAGATAACCCTATATCAAATTGTTATTGTCATAGAACATGGATTTAGTTGCTTATGAAAATATAAAAACATGTATTTAAGCTGTTGAGTTACAATTTTAAAGAAAACCAACACCCTAAAATATTTTTTTTCACATATAGAGAACTCACTTTGAAAATGTTTTTGTATCTTAACTGGAGTTTGTGATAATCTAGATTGTTCACAATGACTGTGACACCTTGTCCCATTTCTTAGCATCTTTTTCATATTTTCCATCTATCCCTGAAACTAATGTCCTGCATTTTTCAACAGGACCTCAGGAATCTGTAACTAAGCACCATGGAACTCCAAAATGCTTTTGGTCCTGGAAAGGTGAAGACCTTGATCCTAGCTATTTAGCATGAATTACACACTATCCTTAATCTCAACAGATTTGTGAAAAGACACAAAAAGTAATGAGGACCAAAAAAAAAATTCTTTCACTGTTATATTGCTTCATATGACATCATTTTGTTATCTTCCTTCTTTATTTTTTAAAAAGATTTATTAAGTGAGCAGGAAAATACATGATTGAACAAATGGAAACTACAGGGTGTGCCCTTTACAAGACTGAGTGAAACAACAGATTAATCAGAAGGCATGTGTCAATTTTCTACAATGAAACTTCATGCAACATTCAGTGGAGCTGAATATATACAGATGTTAGAGGCTTCCCAGGGAGGCAGAATTGTTGTCCTTGGAAGATTGTTAAGACCCAAATGTCATTAGGCTGTCTTCAAGCTGCATTTGGCAGGAGGATACTTTCACTGTTGTTTATTTCTTGTTTCAGAAAAAAAAAATTGTTTTTTTAAACATTTAGACCAGAAAACAAAATTCAGAATCCCCACCCACATCCAATAACTGCATTTATTGCAATGCCAATAGCTTAAAATGGATCATTATCTGTAAAAATGTAAGAGTTTTGAAATACTGCTTTTCTCATGGTTCTATATGACAGCCCTTCTTACGTTCCTGCAACTTGGCCTGTTAGGATGATTCATGGAGCAAGAAAGTATAGCCAGGGTCATAGCCCGGTGTCTTCCATCCACAATAGCCTTCCAGGAAAGAAAATCTGTAGGGTTTTCTATTTTCTATATGACATAAAACCTATGCTTTTATGATATAAACTTTGGAGACAGTGTTTTTTTTTTTTTGAAACTGAAATTAATCATATAGTTTTTTACCCTTTAAAAAATTCCAAAGCTCTGTTATTATTTTCATTCATTCTTTCATCCAACAGATATTTACTGAGTGACTAATATTTGCCAAGCATTCTTCAAAGCACTGGAGACGGACCAGTAAGCAAAGTATATGGTGATAAGTACTGTGAAAGGCAATGAAGCAGAAAATGAGTGGGGGGATGAGAAGTTATTTGACACAGGTCTCTGACAGTACAGGAATATTTGTACAGAGACCTGAAGGGAGGGAGTCAGCTATGTAGGCATATGGGGGAAGTTTTGAGACTGAGAGACAGCAAGGACAAAGACTCTGAGACAGAACATGCTTTGAGGGTGTTCTGGGTGAAGGAAGGAGGCCAGTGTGACTTTAGCAAAGTGACAAAAGAAATAGATGAGGTCAGAGAAGTGGCAGTGGCGGCTGAGGTGGGGCCAAAAGTAGGACAGATTATCACAATGCCCTTCTAGGCCACTGTAAGGATGTTGACATTCCAGGTGAGATGGGAAGGCATTGAGGGACTAGCAGAAAAGTAGCATAACCTGGAATATGTTTTAACACCATCATATCAGGCAAGAAGTGGCTTGGACCCAGAGTGGATTGTGGATATATTCTGAAACTAGGGAAAACAGGATTAAAAAAGAAATGGATTCGATGTGGTATGTGAAAGTGAAAAATAAAGGATAACGAGATTTTCTGGTGTGAAGGAATAGAGCTGCCATTTACTGGCACAGGGAGGATTGCAATGGGAGTTCAGTAGTACCCCCTTATCTGAGGGGGAGTTTGAAGACCCACTGTGGATGCCAGAAACTGTGGATAATACTGAACCCTATACATACTATTTTTTTTCCTATCTATACATACTTCTGATAAAGTTTAATGTATAAATTAGGCACAGTACTCTTGCACTTTGGGGCCATTAAGTAAAATAAGGGTTACTTGAACACACGCACTGTGATACCATGACAGTCTATCTGATAACCAAGATGGCTACAAAGTGACTAAGGGGAAGGTGATGTTTACAGCATCGATACGCTGGACAAAGGGATGATTCATGTCCTGAGTGGGGTGTAGCAGGATGGAGCAAGACTGCATTACACTATTCATAACGGTGCACAATTTAAAACTTAGGAATTATTTCTGGAATTTTCAATTTAATATTTTTAGACTGCAGATAATCGCAGGTAACTAAAACCAAGGAAAATGAAACCATGAATAAGAGGAATACTGTGTATTGATTGGTGAACATGTCAAGTTTGAGATGCCAATGACACATCCAAATGAAGGTGCTTCATAGGAAATTAGTTAAATTGTATGCCAGTTTTATTTGGCATTCAGGGAAGAGGTTGGGTCTGGAGATTAAAATGTGGGTGTTGTAAGTGTATAGTTTTTAAAGCCCCAGGACTGGGAGAGATCACTTAGAGGGGGATGCCTAGGACTGGGGCACTCCAAGAAGTCAGCCAAGGAGATTGAGAAGCAGTGGCCAGGAAGGTGAGAGAACATGAGAAAGATGCCCCAGAACTGAGAAAGCATTTCAAGAAGGAAGTAATTATTAACTATGTCAAAGACTGCAGATAACTCAAGCAGCATGAAGCCAGAGACCTAACCATTGCATTTGAAAGCATGGAGGTCGCTGGTGTCCTTAGCAAGAGCTGCTGTGGTAGAGATGAAAGCCTGATTTGAGTTGGTTCAAAAGACCAAGGGAGGAGAGAAATTTAGGACAGTAAGTATACACAGTTCCCCCTAGAGAGTTTTTCTGTGAAGAGAAACAGATAAATAAGATGGTAGTTACGTTACCGAAACACTAGGTTTGGTCTAGGTCCTGCTGCTTGCCACACAGAAAGCCAATCACTGAGATGACAAGTATTGCCAAGAAAGTAGGCTTTGGTTTGGTCGGGTGCTGCGGCCAAGGAGATGGGAGCTTAGTCTCAAATCCATCTCCCTGACTGACCAAAACTAGGCATTTATATAGCAGGGAAGAAATGTAACAATGTGTAAGAAAACAGGAACTAAGGAGGGGCAAGAAGGCATCTGGTGCTATGATCTGTTGAGTTCCAGTTCTTTGATACTTTTTTGAGAGGCCTGAAGGAAAACAAATACAAGTTTCAAGCTTTAACAGCAAAAGGGTCAGTTTCTATGTTTATCCAAAAACAACTGTCTATGGGACTATTGGGCCGTTTCAGTTAGACAGGGTAATGGGGCCAAGGAGGGTGTTGAAGACCGGAGATACTGCAGCATACAGAACACAGCGAGATACACTGCAGAATACAATTAAACTCAAAATACAGTGAAATAGAATAGGGGATGCAGAAGAGAGGATTCGGTTTCTGGGGCAATGATCTTTATTTGGTGAGGTTGAATGGGATTTACCTAGAGCAAATAAGAATTGTCTGCTATCACTTAAGGAGCTGATGTAGTAATTAGCAATGATAAGTTTCACTGGTCAAGATCAGGGAACCAAGAAGCCAGGGTATTTGTAGGACTGTCTTAAGTGGATATTGAAATAATCAAGAATGATGACAGGGTGGTGGTAAAGAGAGCAACAGTGAGCCAAAACCTAAAATTCTTGAGCAATGAGAAGGAGTAAAAGAGGGTAATGTAGGGACTTGGGAGGCTGATGTCAACAGCTTCAAAACAATGAGTGTTCAGGAGGAGGAAAGGAGAATAGTTTGGAAGTGGCAATGAGGAACAAGGAGGCATCCTACGATTAATGTTTTATTATTCATATTTTGACAAAGATAGCATATTATATTCCAGGACATGGTAGTTACCATGTGGGGAAACCTATCAAAGCATTTTTAATGACTGCTTAGAATAACTGTAGAAAGTACTTTCTCAATGATTTTTGTATGCAAGAAAAAAAATACCTGAAAGTAACCAAAAGTTTCAGACTGGAAAATATGCCAGGAAGATTTTCTTCTCTCATTCTCAGGTGAGGTTATAATCCAGTTTTAGCAAATGTTTGACAATTTAAAATACTTTTGAAAACTGGAGATTTAAAAAATGTAAACAATTGTAGGCACAGCAAAATCGTAGTTTTCCCTTCTGATATTATACATTTGGCATCTCTCTACAGTTATATTAACATAAATAAGGCAGCTAAAACGTTCAAAAATAGTTTTACAACATTCAATTTTAAAATTTCATTCAAGCTGTAATCTTTTGTTTCCTGCTGCCACCTAACATTTGAAGTTTTGATTCAGGGTAATGTCCAAGGTTTCTTAAACATACCATAATAAGTATTACTATTCCTTAACATTTATCCCAGGGGAAGAGATAAGGGAAAGGGGTAGCTGGGCATGATATTTACAGTGTACAAATAATGATCCATTGCCAGAAATGAAAACTCACCTTTCCACCAGCATTTGCTCAGCCTCAATAGTGCAATGCAACTTGGTGCTGATAAAAATAAACCATTAAAACCAAACCCTATCATGCAAGGAGTGAGTTTGAAGATATGTACACAAACTCAAAAATCTGTAAACTTTAGGACATTTTTATTTTTAACTGTATTTTCTACTTTTCATCCAAACATTTGTCATCATGGACTCAGAAGAATCCAAGATTTTGATCTAGATTTAAAATAACTCAAACATTACCCAGGGATTTTTGTTTAAAAATGCTTTTATGGGGATTTTTATTTTGGTATATTCTGGCACTTCCTGGAATGGCAGGTCTAGAAGAATAAAGTCCAAAGCACAGGGTTATGATCTCACACTGTTTAATGCTAAGCAAACTGTTGAATATTCTAGTTATCAATGGAAGAATTCCCAGAATAATGGTGTAGAAATAAAAACAACCTAGAAAATGTTTGGTAGGAATATACAAATTGTCAGTTTTGAACTTGCAAATTCTCAAGAGGTTTTCTTCTTTGCTGGGACTCCTGAAAAGTGATCAATTTTACACCCAATTTATTTAAGATCCATGAAAGGACAGCTTACTTTAGGGTTCCTGATATATAGTGACCAAGGAGATATAGTGGCATTTATGAGAAATATTAGCAGGTAAATTAAATCAAATTTAGACTTTTGGATTTTAGATTTATGTTACAACTATGTAGTCTCAGGGGAGGTCAGTTTTTGGTTGGTTGGTTATGTTTTGCTTGATTTGGTTAGATTTAAATTTTGAAGAATGAACTAAAAGGTAACTAACAAGTTAGAGACTGTTGAAATGATCAGAACATGGTACCAGTGGTGATTCTGGAATATAAAGAGCATAGTAGCATCATTCAGAATTGTTATCAGCATGCTGTGGATTTTCTCATGTTTTCCTGCAGTAGGTTAAAATTAAAAGTTTTATCAATAACTATTTTTTTTCTTAAAAATAATGTAGCACATCTTACATCTTAAAGCAATCAGCACAAATGCAAGTGATGCCTGTTCAAGCAGACTTTCAAAGACAGCACACACTGTTAACACAAAGAGCTCTTCCACGTTTCAAGAATACAGTGACGGGAACTGGTACACATAGTAGTAGGGAAAGCATTTTTTTAAAAGCTTCGTGGAATGTGAGACTTTAGCCCCTTCCTTTCCTGGCAGTGGATAAAACCAAAATGGTTCTGGCTGGAATTTCACATCTTTCTAATAATCTACTGGACAGGAGGGACCAGAGACACCAATTACCAATGAGTCACAAGAACAGACAAAAATTGTTAGTAGGTTTTGACAACCAGGAACTAAGGTGTTTTTAAAAAACATGTACTTGATGCAAAGTATATTAGGAGTGCACCCTAGAAAACAATGTCAAAGTGTTAGAAAAATGGAGCCCCTGTCCAGGTGACCTTGTGAGATTTCACCCATAACTTAATATACCCTGTTTAATAAAAATAATAGTTCTAGGTCTTCTTGAAGGATTGTTTAGAAGTCTCCAAGAAAAATAATGAGATCTATCTAAAATAGAGCTGTTCAATTTTATGTGGAACTTAGTGAAGGCTGTCTTCATTTGCATTGTGTGTTATGACAGTGGTCTGGCTGGAACTGGCAGGGGGAAGAGCCTCATTATTTGAAGGAACTTCACTGGTCATCCATTCCTACCACCACTGGATGCAGGAATCCATGCTACAGTATCTTTGACTGGCACCCAGGAATGATGGTCACCTGCCAGACCCCAGACCCAGACTATGGTGTGGGCAGGCTCAGTAGATTTTACTGGATGATTATTAATTTAGAGCAGTAAGAACTGGCAGATCTAGTGAAACTTACTCTGAGGGGAGGGCTCAGTTTCTCCAGTTTCTCTTTGTAGGAAAATAAAAATAAAATGAGCCAATTTCTAGAGACAAAATCACCTATAAAAAGATCAGAACTGAAGATTTTTTTTGTTGAGATGCTATAAAAATGGATGAAAAGCAACCGTTCCTCCCCTACCCCCAAAAAGAATTAAGGCAATTCAGAAAGTTTGGATGAGCCACAAGGACACCATTCTGACGTATTCTGCATGTTCTAGGCCTCCTTATGTCAGGGCTGGGGTCTGTCTTGCTGGAGGAAAATTTATTTTTGAAGATAAAAGCTTCAGTGAATTCTTTAAATATCTGTCTTTTAAAGAGCACAGATTTCTGGGGGGCCCATTTAAATTTGGATTTGCCTTGTACTCAGTGTAAAATATTAGTACAAAAATATAAAAGGCATGGCTTGATGTTTAACGTGTGTTTTATTGTTGTTGGCACCAGAAAAGCTCATGTTCTATGTTATGTCACTGTACATACTGTAAACAAGACTGCATTAATATTGTTTTCTTATGATTTGTTTCAATGACTCTAGATTTTAAAAAATACATTCACAAACTACCTTATGTTTAAACACAATGATTCCCTTTTATTTCTTAACTGTACCCAAAATCCCACAATAAAAAAATCATTTAAAGCTGTGTGTTTCAAACTTATCACTTAGAAATAAAAACAAAACAAAACATAAAAACAAAGATCAGTTTGCAACATAATTTAAAGAAGCTTCTGGTTTAAAATACCACAGCAGCAATATAAAGAGCTGGTGGCAATCACATTCGGGAGTGAAATCGAAATCAATATATTTTGTCCACATCAGCATCCAATTACAGTAGTTGTTAAATTCAATCCAAAAAGTTATTGCTGAATTTGTGGCATGGAATTTGAGAAGATAGTATTGTTCAGCAGCACAACCACAGCAGTAAAAATGAGAACAGGAGGATTTCATTGCTTTTGAGAGCTAAAGGGACCATGAGGAGGATATCTTGCTGATTGCCTGAAGATAATCCTCAGTTACATTCCTGCATATTACCTGCTTTAAATAAATGCAAATGACAACCACCTTTTCAGGAGGGGCATAATAATGTAATCCAGAAACTAGAATGTTTCCCCTTCTCTTCCCCATCTTGCCCAAACCACTAGATTGAAATGGCTCCATTTTCCTAATGTGTATTTCGTTCTCATTAATAGTACATCAGCTGCTTGTGTATTTAGGCAAAGTCAGTAAGATCGTAGTTTTTTTTGTTGTTGTTGTTCCATTTACAGTAATTATTTTCTCCAGAAACAAGCCACATTAGTTTTTGTCATTGGATTCCCCCCACTTCCAATTTTTTAAGAAGAAAAATTTGGTCAACTACTGTTTCGTTTTAAAAATGTTAAATGCACCTGAGATTGCCGGTTGAGCTCTCTATATGTCTCCTGGAGATAACACTGCTGTGATGAACAGTGAAACAAAAACAAACAAAACGAGGTAGGTTAAAACAGGAAGCGCAACACAGATATTGTTTGCAACACCTCGATACCACAGGCGGCCATGCTTGTAGCTTTGGAAAAAAAAAATCCCAGTCGCATAAAAGTTCAAATCATTTGAGTAAGAGTTTATAAGGACACAAGTCAACCTGAACTAAATACATACATACTTCTGCACAAATGTTGTTTACCGTATGTTGGGTAATTTGGAGGAAGGTAAAGTGATTAGGGTCTCAAAATTTTGTCCAAAGCCTTGCTTTCAAGTTCTCTAAAATTGGAGCCAATGATGCCTCTTGTATCTGAGGCAGGCTTAGGAGTCTAGTCCCTTCTCTCACCCACACAGGGAGAACACAGGCAGCTCAGAAACATTTATTATTAATTTTTTCAGTCACAGTTTTCATCTTGAGAAAGTGGCACCCTCGGGAGAGCGCTGGGAATGTTCAGAGCCTGAATATCATCCACTCTCCAAGTCCCAGAAAGAACTCAACAAAGTCTCAGTCCTAATGAAGCCCAAACCAAGTGACCTCTTAGCTGGGAGGCTTTGTGCATTTTAAAAAAGACTATGTAAGCTTGTTTCCCAGAAGCTCTTTCTGTCTGACCCCATCTGTCATCCCATCTTTTTCCCTGATCTGTTGCATAATAGCTGAGGGAAAGTTGTGTTAGAGTGTCCCTCCATCGCTAGGCCAGCTCAACTCAATGGCGTTAGTATCCTGTTCAACACACTCCATTCTGTAAAGGGCCATATAAAAATGTGGCCTGTCAGATTCACAAAAGTGGTAGTTGATTTTATTAGACTAGTAGTTTTAAGGCTAGTAGTTTAGCCATTTAAAATCTATTTCCCAAAAGAGGGGAAAACTAGTATTTTTCTTCTCTTTTTAAAAATTCATTAGCCAGTTGCTATCAAAAAGCAACCTTTTGGGTTGGTGAAGGCAAGAGAGTTCTTAAATTACTCCACTATGTAGTTATGGCCTTCAGCCTAAGGAGATAAGGTACATTTATTGTGCTGTCTCTCATCATTGGAAATTTTACAACATACCATATACTTAAAACTAGTAGGCAGACAGAATTTAAAAGACTCATTTTCGCAGTATGCATTCTTTCCCCATTCTTGCAGAGTAAAGGGGTAAAGAAAAAAGGTAAAAACCTGAAAACCCACCATAACACAGCTTAATCGTTAAGAGCACACAATATTTGTTTCTATCCCTAATTCCGAAGGGCACATGGTCCATCTTTGTCCACAGACAAGGCAGCATTCTTGGGGATCTCCTGGAAATTCCTGCCACCTTTTTCTCTCCTTCTCAACCAGGCTGCAACATTGAAAGATGGACTGTACTGGGAGGGGCGGAGGGAGAGGAAAAAGGGAAAGCGATATGTTCAACCAAGCCTTCTGATTCTGCCTCTAGACTGGCATAAGTCCACATGAGTTATGTTCTTTTAAATTAGAAATAACGCCATGAAGATAAGTGCCAAGTGCTCTTCTGTTACCAGTTCATCATGGAATTTCTGTTGAGGGTCATGAAAAACACTTGGCTACTTCCTCCAGATCGCACGGATGCAAAAAATACCTGTTTGAAATTAAAAAGAAGTTAGTTCAACTGCATGGTCTTTTCCCCTCTTTTCTTCAACCGTCCATCCATTTTCTCTCACATGTCCTATCCTTGCCATGTGTCAGGTCTTAAGACTCAATGGCTTGTGTTTATAAAGTCCCTTTGGATATCGTGCATCCTATGTAAAAACTCCTGCCTTTATTCCTAGGTTGTTATTATTCCTTATTGTGGTATTGGTCTCCAGAGATGCTGAAGGGGCTATATCTTCATTTGTAACATCTCTTTGGGTGTTCACTTTTTAAAAGGGAGTTTCATGCTAGGATAACGTGCTGGATTTCTGGTCTAGGACCCAACAGGTTCTTTGTTAATTTCTAGAAAGGCACAGAAGCTTCCCTTCTCTCACCCTTAAATGACAAGAAAGTAGACTTCAGGATGGAAGGGAATCCCTTCAAATTCTCAAAGTCAAGGGGGAGTTTTAGGCCTACTGACTATCATACAGTTTCAGATTTCAGTTTTTTAAATTTAAGATAAAAACATTAAATAGTGTGGTCAGATAGGGCAAGGTATTTAATGCCTACTCATTTTGGCATTTCAAGAGTTAACGCATGGTTTCTCTGCTGATGGTGGCATATCCCAGGGCAAATGAGATCATAGCATTAATGAGGAGAACCACAGTCCATTAGGTCTGAGTCTGTTAAGTCATTTTATCAAACAACTGACAAACGTGAGAAAAATTTGGGTTACTGCTTGCTTGAGCTGAATGTTTAATGTTAAAGAACCACTGCCCCAGGAAAGTAATATTTTGGGCTATGGCCTAGCCCTTCAGTCAGTCAATACCTAACTTTTGTTAGGTAGTTGCTTTTGTCACTAGTCTAAAGTCTCTGCTACTTCATTTCTACAGCTTCTTCAGAAGAATGCTAACAACAACTTCTTAGGGAGGTCTCTGGAAATGCTTGACATTCACCTAATGCTGCATATGAAAGTAATGCTACTCTTAGGGTCAATGAATCAAAACGGAGAAGGACAGAGAGGGCCTATGGAAAACCACAATGAAGAAAAGAAAGGGCTGCTCTTCCCTCCAAGTTGTGTGCCCCTGGCTGTAAACCTTGGGTTGCAGACAACTGGTGTGGCCCCAGCCTACTCCTAAGGGTGTGGCATGGCTTGGAACAGCCCTGCTGGGGTAGGTTTTCAATCGGAATGTGGGTATCCATACCCAGATCACTCCTGGTTTTTTGATTCTTAGAGACTGGGTGGGAGCTGGAGTTTTACTAGGTTATGTTTGTTTTCTGGGAAATCTAAATGGCTGGAACCATCTTTGCCACCTGCAGCTACTGTCCACCCAGACCACATCAGGTCAGAGTAGTGGGCCAGGGTTGAATATAGTTTAGGCCCACATCACCAGGTTTGGACTAAGACCAACCTGACCTTTGGGGAACTGGGGTGGACAAAGGGATATACAAAAATTCAACCCATCATACTGTTTTTCTATAGGCGTTTATGTCTGTGGCTTTGGGGACAGCATTTCTATGTTGGCCACAGCCACAAAGGATGAATTCACAAATGCAGTATGGCTTAGCTACTAAAACCTCGGGGTTACTCTACAGGGAGGGTAAGGGAGAAGCAGTACTGCTGCAGAATACCCCTCTGAGGTCACTGATCATGCCAGACGGACACAGCCAATTTCACTGGAAAACAGTTCACCTATGACATTTCAGAAGAAACATGGCTGGAATGACACAAGACATGGCACTAGTTGAGTTTGTGATTGTGCATTCCTTAAGGAATGGGTGACATTTTTAAAAAGCTTATATTTCTAAACGTCAAATGTTTTGGATTTAAAGGTGAATATAAGGTGATTGGTTAGGTCTTGAAAGTGACTTTGTGAAAAGTCTAAAAGTGGAAGTATAAAGTTGACCCACTGTGAGATGATTAATGATGGGCCAACTGCTCTAAGTGCTTAGGAGAATTTGGGGTGTCTGCTGAGTCATCAAAAGGCCTTTAGGCCACAAAGGTTTCTAAGAGGTTTACAAGAAATTTCTAAATGTTTTTATGTAGTTTTTGACATGTGAATAATATATTGAGTGCTCACATGGATCAAACCAAATAATGCCATTTCAAGATAATATTGATTGTTTAACACAGATGTGATTCAAATCAGTATAAAGGAAAATGAAGGTTTCACAGGTACCTGGTGGTCTCTTAAAATGCAAACACTAATGCAAATGTTGAAACGGATTTACCTTATCATTTCTTTCACATAGAAACTTTAACCTTTGAGCTCGCTTATGCATAAATACTCCATCCAAATGTCCTGTTTCCACTGACCGGATCTCAATAGCTTTCTCGCCCCAGCCCATTATCTGATTGGAATGAATGTAGGCTGTCAAAAGGAATTTCCAAAACTGCATTAAAAACATTAGATGGGCAATAACTCACAGCATCTGTTCACATCTTAACCACAAAAATGACAAACGACTTGAGATAAATGGACAAAGCAAGTCTTACAAGAGTTATTCACAGATTTTTTTTTTTTTTTTTTTGTGGAATCAAATGGTTGTTTCACATTTCTTGATTTTCGTTTCATTTGGGGGGTGTAACTGCTGAAGGAGATAAGGAATGGTTAACCTACCCACAGACGTGGGCATTTCTCCCCATTGGAGCACCACATCCTTAGTTATCCGGCCATAGGTGTTTACATACACCCCCTCATCCTCATAGCAAACAAGCATTTCCATTCCATCTGTTTTAGGCAAGATGACAATAGCATGAGGAGTGATATTGCCCTGAATCTAGAAGACAAAGAAAAGCCAAGCATTATTCTTTTAAAAAATAAAACACCTTGACTATTCATCTCTAACAACTGCAAAAAAGAGGTTTTTGTTTATTTTCATTGTCACCCTAAAGACTGAAATTTGCTTTAATTTAACCACTGACTTGTAAAATACCCTGGTAAATCAAACTTAGTCACTAGATTAAAAATTCAATTTACCTGTTCCTAAAAAGAGCATGTAAATCTATGGCACACCTACTATGTGCCAGTCATGGGGCCCTTTACATATATAATTTCTAGTACCTACAATAGCTCCCCAAGGTAGATAGCTTTGTTTACAGATGAGGAAACTGCATCTCAGAAGGGCTTTGTGTCTTAACCAAAGTTGTGCTAGTATTTGTTGGTAGAGTTGGGATTTGTGTATATCTTGCTGACGTTGAAATTAATGTGTTTTCTATTAGCACAACCACTTCCAAAAGAAGATGAGGAGAATGTAAGCCAGCTGAATCTAATGGAGATAGCTTAAGTGGGGTCAAAATGAACTACCAAAATAATCTGTGAAAAAAAAATATATATATAGGATTGTTTATCCGGGTGTCTAAATGCCAGAATAATTCATGGCTTGGTTAGAAAAAATATTTAGAATGACCACTCATTAAAAAAAATCATTATTGCCGCACACAGTGGCTCATGCCTGTAATCCCAGCACTTTGGGAGGCCGAGGCGGGCGGATCACGACGTCAGGAGATCGAGACCATCCTGGCTAACACGATGAAACCCCGTCTCTACTAAAAATACAAAAAATTAGCCGGGCATGATGGTGGGCACCTGTAGTCCCAGCTACTCGGGAGGCTGAGGCAGGAGAATGGTGTGAACCCAGGAGAGGCGGAGCTTGCAGTGAGCCGAGATCACGCCACTGTACTCCAGCTTGGGTGACAGAGCGAGACTCCGTATCCAAAAAAAAAAAAAAAAAAATCACTATTGAAATAAGTGTATATTAATTTGTTCTAGGAAAGGAAATGTGATGTTGTTGTGATCCCCTAGTTGAGAATGCCATGGCAGCCCAACATGTGCTTGACAGATTGGACTAAGAGAGTTGAGGATTATCATAGTTACACCTTAGCTGCCTCACCAGGAATGTGAGCTGTGAGTCCTTGTGTTCACCCACATCCACATGAGTTAAAAGTGGTAATAATGCAGCAATGAATGGCAGTCGTGTGTGTGTATGTAATATACTGAAACAACTTCTTTTAGTTATTGCGTTTCATTAGAATAAAGTCTTAAAACTCTCAAAATACCAGTCAGCGGTAGCTTCAAACATTCCTGATAAATAGTTTCTCCTGTGTGTTAGTCTTGGGATTACACACAGGACACACACTTTACACTACACTTAATCCTAATAAGTGAATCCATGTGCAGCATTTCCCTTTAACAGTTATGTTTCAAGCAATATGTCAGGATAGTAATATGAATATTTTAGGGCTAATAAGAAGATCTACAATTTGCAGGGCCCTGTACCAACTGCTTTAGATCCATTACCTCATTTAATACTAATGATAATCCTATGGGATAAGTCTTTTTATCCATATTTTACAGATGCGAAAGCTGAGGATTGGAGAGGCTGCCTACTGTGTCCATTACTGCAAAGCTAATACATGCTAGAGCCACTGTGTCTGACTCCAGTGTACCACACTGCCCTCAAGCTGAAGAGAGGAACTAAAAATAGCAAAAAAAGAATTTTCTCCAATAAATTAGTACCTGACCATTGGCTTTCTCTAACATAAAATGAACGAATTTCCCTTCAAAAACTGAATGTGGAAACTTGTCTACCGAATATAATTCATGCCCTTGAAAGAAATATGTCATATTCATTTTAATCTAAAGTCCAAAGAGACAACATGTAAATGCCAAATGATTTCTATTATGTATTCCCCAATTTTAGGAAGTCATAAAAATTAGTTAAATTTATATATTTTAGTTATTAAAAGCAGTATACTTAATGAAGAACGAAAGTCCATTTGCTGGTTAGTAAAGTGTGCATGACTTCTACTAAAACTATGCAAAACAAATCTCTTTCTACATGCAGGCTGTTGTACAGAGAGCCCTTGAAAGTCTACTTCTGAGTACTTACATGAGATGGTATGTAGATATCATAAGAGTTTCCTGAATCAACATCAATTACATGGAAACCAGTGTGTGAACCAAAAATAACCTTTAATCTTTGACCTTCTTCTACCGTGAGATCAACTAGCAGAGGCTTGTGCTGGAGATCTGCAAAAGACTTTAAAAATCACCCCATTAGTATCCGCATCACTCAAAGAGGCATCTTAATTTTTTTCCTTTAGCCACTGTCTAGAGGAAGTTAACTTCTAACTTTATTAAAGTGAAAAACTAGAAAATTTCTCTTTCAGTTTTAGGTCTGTTGATATTCTGGCCCTAGGAGGAAGGGTCTAGCATCCATTTGTGCCCCTTTCTCTACCCTTTGTCCTTCGGGGCAGTGAAGTTTAAGTTGGTGCACAGGTGTAAATTTTGATAGTGGTAATGTATATTAAAAACCTGGTGCCTGGGTATTGCTGTTTTTTCCTGTTTATTTCTGGCCTTTGTCCTCTGAAGAAGGCCCAGTCACCTCTCTGGCCCCCCTCTTTCCCATGTGGCAACCAGGCCCATCCACAGCAACTACCCTTTCAGAGACAGCCTGGGAGGGACAGCCAAGGCCGGCTGTTTTCTCAGCCTGTTTAGTATTAATGGGCATGCTCTGGTTTGGATTTTTCTTCAGTGAATGAGTAGGCATAAGATTGGCACTTTCTCTTAATGTTGGAATCTGAGACTTGGGTTTGGGTGGTAGAGAAAGAGGTGGGAGTGGAACATCACAAGATTGATGGCTTGCATTGACTATTTGGGTTTAACTAGAAAGCAAAAAGAGAGATCTTGCCAAGTTTGTCAAAGTTCTCTGTGTTTGAATCCAGAGCCCAAGCCCCAACTAACTGTCAAGTGTTCCTCTGCCATTTTCCTTTGCTATTTTTTAACCACGCTCTACCTTTGGGCCTTGAGATCTGGGAGAGCATTTGTGAAACTACAATTGCCTTAACTATAATGCCACTGCTACCTCTCAGACCCTTCTCTTCTCATCTTTTGCTAACACCATTCTGACAGCATGGGAAGCTCTAGCGTCCTGTCCTTGTCCTATGGGAAGGCTTGGCCTCTTGCCAGTTCCACTCTTTCCTGTTCAAGTCTTTGCCTTTGCTCTTCCCTCTTTCTGGGCTGGATAGGGTCTGTCAGAAAGAACATTTTGCACTCTCTCATGTGTCTCTGGGTCATAAAATAATGGCAATAACTTCAGAGCAAGAATGGGAATGGGATGTTGATTGAAAAGCTTTTGTGGAGATAGATTTTGGCAGAACAGGAGTACCACTTTGGCTTTTAGGAGTTATCCCTTGTTATTAGTAACCTAATGCATTCCAATTTTTTTCCATAAAAGTGAGGTCATGGAGGGGAGCCCATTTCCATTAATGAATCTATTTTCTTGAGCACATCAGAAGCCATCTGCCCTAAGGGAACAAGATAGAAGTGATTCAGCTCTGAAGTGGGCCTACATGGTGTTCCAAGGGCAGTTTTGCCCTTCATGAGAATGTGGCAGAAAATAATAAGGAGCCAAATGGAGATAACAGTCATAAAGGTGGGGAGAAAAAGTGAGAGCCAATGAGACATAAAGAAGTAGACAGACATAAGCTGAGAGAGAGAGAGACAGAGAGAGATCAGAGAGAGAGAGTGAGAGAAAACAGAAGATAAGTTCACTTGGGCTATGGATAGGTTATGCGGCTCTGAACACATCTGGGTGCCTGTAAGTACTGGTCCTCCTGGTATTCGGGTGTCAGCTTCATGAGCTGGGGTCAACAGGACTAGCATATCCCCATCCCACTCCTGGCAAATCTCATGAGTGACCAATCCAACCATGGTGGGTACAGACTTAGACAAGGTAAAAAAATGAAAAGGCAATCAAAATAGAAGAATGCAGAGAAACTAGGTCATTTCTGTAAGTTAGCACTGGGGACATATAAGCATCACCTGAGTTTTAGGGACTTCATTCAGAAAGATTTATGAGGATTAAAAGAGACTCAGTTTAACTCTGAGATTCAGTGCTGCCATTTGTCTGCCTTTTTCAAACAAAATATCAGGGAATACCCTGGTTTAGGTGGCTTTATAACAAATGTCATTGCATAAGATCATAATCAATGCTATGCCTACTAACCATTCTAAATGCCTCTTGAGGATGATGATTCATAGATCTCAAGGAGGAGGGCATACCCAAATTTTAATCTAATTTTATAGCATTTACAAATATTCAGTCTTTACTTTTGAAACAATAAACCCTAGAGTACCTACACTTTTAAAACAGGTTTATTATCTATATGAAAATTGGTATTGGTCTATATGGACTATTTTATTAATGGGTAGAAACGGAAAATTTTTAAAAAGCACATTTTAGATAATCACATCCCTGCTTACCTTAAATGCCATGAATTTATGATACGGTTTAGGAGCCCAAGCATATATTTCCACAGCATTCTTTAAGGCAATCACCAAAAATTTGATCCTTTCATATTTAACTGTAATAGAAAAATTATGAGTGAAAAAGTACATCAATTTACTCAAGTTCTTTGTATTAATATTAATGAATGTATAAGCAACAATATGTAAATTTAAATATTGATGTTGGGTGTCAGCTTCATGAAGGTGATATTCCTGGTGTGGGATTTTTTCATAGATACTGATTTAGCTTCCCTTAGCGAACTTTGGTTGGCAGAATACTTATGGCTTTTGCTTTATATTGAAGACTTTTCATCATCCAGAGATATAACTGCTTAGGACTGTCTTTAACACTAGGTCTTGATGTTGATATTCATTGTAATAAGAATGTGCATAATTTCCTTCATGTTAGCTTGCCTGGCTTTTACGTTCACCCATATTTAAGTAGCTGAGAGCAGATATGGCAAGATGGTAGAAAAATTAGCAAATGGGCAGATATAAAGGCTGCCATTTGCTTATTATTTATATTTGAATTCCAATTACCAAGTGAAATAATTGCTTATTTATGCTTCTAACGAAAGGGGGGTGTTAGGAGTCTTGGGTTCTGTTAGTGGCTTAAAGGGCTACGAATACTGACAAATCCTTTTACTCTTTAGAAAGATGGAATATTAAGCATTGTAAATTCTATGGACAGAAGCTTAGTTAAATGATTGAGTCCCCACAATGCTTTTGCCTACACAAAGTAGTACTCAATAAATGCTTATTGAATGGAAAAATGGAAGAACAGACTGTTGTCTGGCATTCTCTTCATTACTCTTACCTACGTGTGTGTCTCTGATAGAATAATAAGCAATGTTTACGGTGATGACCTTGAGAAATTGAACAATCCTTTAAGTGCCTTCTGAATCTTTTGCTGTTAAGTGTGGATTCTAATTCTTAGAGAATTCGTAATCCACAGTTGGTACACATGGCAGTCAGTTTCTTGGTAAAATATCTCAAGAAACAGAATATTCTGAGTCCTAAAGAAACTAGGTAGGAAAAATTTTAATATACTTAAATGACATTAAGTTTCCAGTTACTTGCTTTATAACTTTTCATGACATAAAGTGTTTATTAGACTATTTTTGCTGATCTCTTCATCTGAAACCTAGGAAAAGATCCACAGCTCTTGGCATTGAAGGAACATACCTCAAAATAATAAGAGCCATATATGACAAACCCAGAGCCAACATCATACTGAATGGGAAAAAGCTAAGAGCATTCCCCCTAAGAACTGGAACAAGACAAGAATTTCCACTCTTACCACTCCTATAGTATTGGAAGTCCTAGCCAGAACAGTCAGGCAAGATAAAAAAATAAAAAGCATCCAAATTGGAAAAGAGGAAGTGAAATTATCTCTGCTGATGACAGGATCTTATGCCTAGAAAACCCTAAAGATTCCTCCAAAAGACTCTTAGTGCTGATAACTTCAGTAAAGTTTCAGGACACAAAATTAATGCACAAAAATCAGTTACATCAATAATGCTCAAGCTGAGAATCAAATCAAGAGCTCAATCCCATTTATAATAACAGACACACACACACACCCCACACACACCCCTAGGATAATACATTTAACCAAGAAGGTGAAAGACCCCTACAAGGAGAACTACAAAGCACTGATGAAGAAACCACAGATGACACAAATGAATGGAAAAACATCCCGTGCTCATGGATAGGAAGAATCAATATTGTTAAAGTGACTATACTGCCAAAAGCAGTCTACAAATTGCCAATGTTGTTTTTTACAGAATTAGAAAAGACAATTCTAAAATTCATATGGAACCAAAAAAGAGCCCAAATAGCCAAAGCAATCCTAAGCTAAAAGAACAAAGTTGAAGGTATCACATTACCTGACATCAAACTATACTGTAAGACTGTAATAACCAAAGAAGCATGTTACTGATACAAAAATAGACATACAGATCAATGGAACAGAATAGAGAACCCAGAAATAAAGCCACATACCTACAACCAACTGATCTTCAACAAAGTCAACAAACATAAACAATGAGGAAAGGACACCCTGGGAAAATTGGCTAGCCATATGCAGAAGAATGAAACTAGATCCTTATCTCTTACCATATACAAAAATTAACTCACGATGGATTAAAGATTTAAATGTACCCAAAACTATAATAAGAAAACCTAGGAAAAACTCTTCTGGATATTGGCCTAGACAACATGTTTATGACTAACACCTCAAAAGCAAATGCAACAAAAACAAAAAAAGACAAATGGGACTTAATTAATAAGCTAATGAGCTTCTGTGTGGCAAAATAAACAATCAACAGAGTAAGGAGACAACCTACATGATGGGAGAAAATATTTGCAAACTATGCATCCAACAAATTTCTACAAGGAATGCAAACAATTCAACAAGAAAAAATCCTATTAAAAAGTGGGCAAAGGACATGAACACACATTTCTCAAAAGAGGACATATAAGCAGCCAACCAACAGATGAACAAATGCTCAATATCACTGAACATCAGAGAAATGTAAATCAAAACCACAATGAGATGCCATCTCACACCAGTCAGAATGGCTAATACTAAAAGGTCAAAAAAAAAAAAAAAAGATGGTGGTGAGGCTGCAGAGAAAAGGGAATGCTTATACACTGTTGGTAGGAATGTAAGTTAGTTCAGTCTCCTTGGGAAACAGTATGGAGATTTCTCAAAGAACTAAAAATAGAACTACCATTCTACCTAGCAGTCCCACTTCTGGGTAAATCCCAAAGGAAAATAACTTTTTTTTTTTTTTTTAAATCAAAAGGGCACCTGCATTTGTACATTTATTGCAGCACTGTTCACAACAGCAAGGTCATGGTATCAAGTTGTCCATCAATGGTTGATTAGATAAAGAAACTGTTGTATATATACAGCATGGAATACTATGCAGCCATAAAAAGAATGAAATCGTGCCCTTGGCAGCAACGTGGATGGAGCTGTAGGCCAATCTCCTAGGGTAAAATAACCCAGAAACAGAAAGTCAACACATGTTCTCACTTATAAGTGGAAGCTAACAATGGGGTGCACATGGACACAAAGCTGGAAATAATAGACACTGAGGACTCTAAAAGGGGAGTGGCAGGTTAAGGGCTGAAAATTTACCTGTTGCGTATAATGTTCGCAATTTGGCTGATGAGTTCACTGGAAGCCCAAGCCTCACCATTATGCAATATACCCATGAAACAAACCTGCATATGTACCCCCTGGATCTAAAATAAATTTTAAAAAGAAAAGAAAAAAAAATCCCTTCAGATTTTGCTGATTTTCAGGGTGAAAGAAGAAATAAATAAGTTTATATTTTTAAAGAAATTTAAAATCATCTTGAAAATAAAAACTTATCTAAGCACATATAGGCTCAGATAAATCAAGAAATATTTTAAATGACTCTTGGATATACAATTTGCTTTTCTTTTTTATTCTCATTTTATATTTTTAAAATTTCACAAGAATTTGAACATACTAGAATACTCGTGCTACAAGAAGATGTCAGTGCTGTTGTGGCTGGAATTTCATAGGGGAAGCTAAGTGGAAACTACAAGTGGTTCTTTGGATAACTAAGGCAAACAGTGTTTCTGAAAATTAAGCTGGTCTCAAGTTTTCTGATAGAGAATTACCAGATATTGCTCCCTGGTTAAATTTTACTTTAGATGTGTGGATATAGATCAGCCTACTGATGTTAGGACAATGAAGGGACGGCAATGATTAGAAGGAAGACGTCAGAAATGTTAGAAGGGCCAACAGTAGATGTGCAGGTCAAATAGGATTCCTGTAGCCTGATGTTTTTGAAAAACACTTGTCAGGTATATGCAAGAGATAATATTCAGAAATTTTGCATTATTTCCTGCAATGAATTTTATTGCTCTGTAATCATACAGTATTAGTTTATGGACACAAAATTTGATCACTAGAAATCTTTGGACTAACAAATGCCAAGTAATAAAGGCAAAATACTCAAAAGGAAACAGCTTTGAAATTGTTTCTATTGCTTTCCCCTGAAAACATGACCTGTTCTCAAAGAAAGCAGCTCACTATTTTCAAAAGAAAACCAAATATGCATATGAATCTGAATTCTATTTGGTGTGAGAATGATGGGATGTATGTTTTATACTTTGCCAAATTATCAGATTGAGGACAAGAAAAAATTAGAATTCCAGGGTATCCCTATTAGAAAGTACCAAATAATTCTGATTCCTGAACAAAAATGTACAGTGGAGCAAATAGCTTGCACTGCTGCCCAGCCTGCTATAGAAAAACATTCCCGCATGTGGTCTGGTTTATGAATAAAGCTATGTCCTTTGAACATCCATTCCTTTTTAAAAAAACAAATACTTCTTAACTGATTTCCCTGGGCCTGGCTCTGTGCTAAGTGCCGGTGAGATGTAGATGTGGCTCTGGCCACATACGTTTACAGACATTAAACGTTTTTTTTTTTTCCAAAAGCTGCTATTTTTTTTTTTTCTTTGAGATGGAGTCTCGTACTGTTGCCCAGGCTGGAGTGCAGTGGCACCATCTCGGCTCACTGCAACCTCCATCTCCCAGGTTCAAGTGATTCTCCTGCCTCAGCCTCCCGAGTAGCTGGGATTACAGGTGCCCATCACCATGCCTGGCTAATTTTTTGTATTTTTAGTAGAGACAGGGTTTCACTATGTTGGCCAGGCTGGTCTCAAATACCTGACCTCACGATCCACGTGCTTTGGCCTCCCAAAGTGCTGGGATTACAGGCGTGAGCCACTGTGCCCGGCCCAAAGGCTGCTTTTTATACTTATCAATACATACATTATCTATGTTGTAAGACATAGATAATGTTGTAAGGTCAGGGGCTTTTTTTTTTTCCTTTGTAAAACTGTGAGTGACATGTTATTAAGTGAGGAACATGTCCTTCTCAGGCACCAAACCTTCAGGTTCACTAGCCAGCCCCAACACTTCCTAATATTGTGTCAAGGTTATCTGGGAAGGTCACCTGGAATGAAATTAGAGAAAAGGCAGGTGGAGACTCTGCTTCAAAATAGAGTCCCCTTTCTAGTTGGCAAAATGTGATACACTGAAGTTCTTTCTTTCTGAGCTCTTCTTTATAGCATGCCCCTTCTGTTTCCACATTCTGTATTTGATACACTTGATTAGATTTCAGCCGACATTATGTCATCACACATGATTGGACCCACTTGACTGGTTAAAATTTCAAATGTGTCTCATACTTTTCTGAGACCACATCATGGACTCCTTTGAACTGAAGGTGTCTAAAGTTCCTCCGCCGCTCCTTTATTGTCATTCTTTATGTTAAATAATTAATGTATTTTATCTAGTACACATTTTAAAAGCCTCCACACATTTTCTTATCAGCTATGGATTGAACAAGTCTTACAGGTACCTATTTTAAAAAGCCAAAGAACTCTAGGGCTTATGAAAACCAAGTACCTGCCTCCCTGCTGATTCCTGCTCCATAAAAACAACCGCTTGCAACTCTTTCAACTACTTCTTTCAGCAATTTGTTTCCAGATTTCTAAATAACATGATTATAATGTTATTCCTTGATTTTTTTTTTTCAGTCACAGACATTATTTACTGACTTTGTAGTATGGAAAGGATTTAATTTCTCACATCATTTCCTTCTCTCTCTAGCTTCTTCTCTTTCTTATGCATATGCACACACGATTTACTTCTGTAAACTCTAAATATAGCTGTATTTTAAATTTTTGGTTAAATCAATATTGAGTGTTAAAATTATTATTGTTCATGACTGAGGTATGTAGTATACCATGGTTACATTTCCTTTCTTGTTCCCCCCCCCCTTTTTTTTTATACTTGTTTTCTATGTATCTCTCTCTAAGCACATGTAAACTTTCTGCTGATAAATGCCCTTCAACATGGTCAAACGCAGCAGGTCATCTATTTATACCATTTTATTTTTCTTGGAGGCATCTTTCCTGGAACCCTGCATTGTCCCACTCTGCCAGGACTTATTTCTTTCTAGGCCTGTGGCAGACTTGTCACCCCAGGTTCCCTTCACCATCATTCTGGGTATTTTCGTCATCTTCCTGGACTACTAGGTTTAGTTATTTATTTTGGTGGAACACATCCTTCAGTTGCTTCCTGAGAAATGGTGCATGAAAAGTAAATTTTTAAGACAGGAGTAAATCATGTGTGATAAAGTAGACTGCCCTCCCCAATGTGGGTGGGCCTTATGCAATCATTTGGAGACCAGACTAGAACAAAAAGGCTGAGTCTTCCTGCTTGGTTGAGCTAGGACATCAGTCTTTTCTGGCCTTCAGACTTGGACTGAAGCATCAGCGTTTCTTGGGTCTTGAGCCTACCAGTGCTCATAGTGGAACAACACCATCAGCTCTCCTGGTTCTCAGGCCTTCAGATTTGAACTGGACTTAAAACTTTGGCTCTCTTGGGTCTGAATGAGCTTGTTGACTGAAAATCTTGAGACTTTTCAGCCTGTATAGTATAGTCATGTGAAATAATTCCTCATAATCTCTCTCTCTACATATGTATATACACATATATATACATATGTATGTGTATATATGTATGTACATACATATATACAGCTGTATGTATGTATGTATATGTGTATACACATACACACACTCACACATATATATATATCTCCTTAACCCTTAACACAGGAGGGCTATAAAATACTAGTTGGAAATAATTCTGTTGGGAATTTGGAAGGCCTTGCTGTATTGTCTTTTAAGCTTCTATATTGCTGCTGAGACGTCCCAGGCCACACTTATTCTGGGTCTATTGTATGTAAACTGTTTGTTATTTATTTACTTATATTCTGACAGCTTTGCCAGTTTTGAAGGCCTTCTCATTTCCCAGGTATTGATATATCATGTTGATATGTCTTTTTGTGAGTCTTTCTTTCATTTAGTATGCTGGACACTCAGTGAATCCTCTTAATATGGGATTTCAAGGCTTTTAATTCTAGATACCTTTCTTATATTCTTTCTTCAATACTTTCATTTCATATTCTCTAAAACTCTTATTACTTAGATTTTGAACCACTTGGACTGATCTTTTTATTTTCTTATATTTTCTCTGCTTTGCTTTTTGTTCTACTCTTTAGGAGAATTCCTTATCTTCTAACACTTTTATTACATTTTTTATTTCTGCCAATACATTTTAGTTTGCAAAATTTTTTCTTGGTCTCTAAATGACTTTCCCCTACTTTGTTCTACCTTTTTTTTTAACAGCCCTTTTCTTGTTTTATAGAAAGAAGTTTTCTAATCTCTGTAAAGCTATTATAGTTTCTTGCTTCCTTCCTTTCTTTCTTTTTACATTTTCTTCCACTCCTTATTATCCCTGTTTCTTCTAACGTCCTTTCTTTCTGTTTGTTTAGGTTTCCTTCATATTTGTGAATTTCTCCACTCCTTGGTATAGACAGGCTTATCTTTAGGGTAGTTAGGCAGCAAGCTTTTTTCATGGCACTTCAAATGTTAGTACCTGTACATCTTTTCTTTCTGGCCATTTAGTTTCTCCAAAGACATTTCTTACATTCTCTTCCCAGGGAGTATAGGCATGGCTATTTGGGAGCTAAGTAGGGGTTAGAGGGATGTGTATGTGTGTGTGTTTTCACAAGTATTCCCAGCATCATATTGGCTGTGCAAACCTTTCATCTTCTGTTGCAGCAGAGGAAGGTAGTGGCCTAATTACTCAGAGGTGGAGACTGGGTTCTGGAAGACTTGCTGCTCATGAATTTTCTAACAATTCTATTTTCAGTCCCACCTTACACCTCCACTTCCACCTGAGATTCCCCTGGGGCCTTAGTTCCTGGGCCTTTCCAGGTTCTGTTGGATTGATTTTGATCATTTTCCTCACTGCAGATTCAGAATTCAGAATTTCCTGGTATTCTAGGTCTTTTTCCAGTCACTCAGCTACTCTTTCGATTTTACCGACATTTCTTCTCTTCTCTTGGTCCCACTGTCCTCATAGGCTTATGGCATTTTTATTCTTTTCTTGTCATTTTAATGAGTCTTTGGAAGAAAGTAGATATAAATGTTCAAACTGGAGCCTAGGACTTTATTCTGAATGCACTCTTTCAATTTCATCAATCTGGCTTTTAAAAAATATAAATAATGCTGAAGGTTCCAGCAACATCTGAAGCTGGTCACACATGCATCATCAATCTGATAGAAAAAACTAGGTGAAACCTAACTAAGTAAGTCTGATTGAGTAAACAGACCAAACTTATAATTCCATGTCTTGAGACTTACCAACTTTATAATGTATACAGCCTTCCAAGTCCCCAACAGTGATCCAGCCTTGTTTCTTTTCTACTTCTGGGTCATTATGTAGTATTCTGTTTCTTAACCATGAAAGATAGTAAACTCGTAGCTTATTCTTCTTTCCTGTTGAAATAATAGAGGTTTAATTTCAAATTGCTGTGACAGCTCTCACTTTTTCCTTCCCCACCTCCATTTATTTCTAATTTATTTTATTTACGTGTGTGTGTGTGTGTATGAAGGCATAATAACCAGTGTCCCCAGCACTTTGTCATTAAAATGGTGTTTCTGCCAGAACTTATGGTTAAAATAGCTCTACGTGTTTTAGACACATCACAGAATTACAATGTCTTTTATCTTCAGGTGGTTTCTTATTTGAGCATGTGCTCTTACTCTCTCTTCCCAATGCAAAGCAGTGTCTGCTGAACTTAGTAAGAGCTAACTCTTCAACAGAGTGATCAGAGTTCCAGAACATTCTAGATCAATCACATGAAGAAGTGTTGGCAACTGGGCATTTTGGCACCTGCCTTTCCTTCACCGTATAACCTAATAACAAACAAGAGGATAATATGGGTTCAGAAAATTATACTGGGCAGGTTTATGGTGCTGAAGTCACTGAAAGGAATACTGAACAAAAATAGGAAAAAAAGGATGCAAACTTGAAAACTTAAATTTCCGTTTGGTAAAGTGATCTTGGAATAAAGAATTCATAGGATGATAAAATATTTAGACAATATTGAAGAGTACACAAGTAGCAAAACTTGATATACTCCATTTGATGATTTGCACCAGATAAAATGTCCATTGGGATGACTCTTCCTAACTAATGATAAATTTAGCTCTATGGGTTTTATTTTTTGGATACTTATTTTTCTTTATCTTAGGCTTTAAAAATGTTTTATTTATTTATTTATTTATTTTTTTTTGAGACATGAGTTTCACTTTTGTCGCCAAGGCCGGAGTCCAGTGGCATGATCTCGGCTCACTGCAACCTCTGCTTCCTGGGTTCAAGCGATTCTCCTGCCTCAGCCTCCCAAGTAGCTAGGATTACAGGTGCCGCTCCCAGCATGCTCAGCTAATTTTTATATTTTTAGTAGAGATGGGGTTTCACCATGTTGGCCAGGCTGGTCTGGAATTCCTGACCTCAAATGATCCGCCCGCCTCGGCCTCTCCCAAAAAAAATGTTTTATATTTTATAGATGAATATATACCAGCAGAAGAGAACTTAGTAAAGCATTACACATGCATTTGACAGGAGAGCACATTCATCACCTAAACTAAGGGAATCATTGTGTGGTCAGTATTCAATTTTGTAACCAAAGGCCTAGAATCCACATTGATCACAGTAGCTAGGATGGACACGAGAGCCAGTGTTTCCTCCTTTCTATGCCAATATGAATCCAAGGTTAGTTCAAGAATCTTTTGCTCCTATTTTCATTTTCTCCTTTCCCTATCTGTGCCTCATGAGAAAAGGAAACTCTTACACTGTTAAGAATGAAGATGTGCCACTAACAACATAATGAAGTCTGAATGTGAATTTTCTGGTTGCATTCCCACTTTTGGCAGATATGCAGTTTTCATTTTGATTTGGTAGTATAGCAATCAGGACAGCAATTAACCAGAACAAAAGACTACATGGGATTAAACTCAAATGGCAATACAAAAGGAATTTACCTGGTTAACCTTATTTGGGGAGAATAAAAAGAGATGAAACTGAGCATTCAGTGGAAAGGTAAAAGAAAGAGGAAGTTTAGTGACAAGCAAAAGCATTTTGTCAAAATGGAAGTACAGCTGAACTTTGAGGAAAGTTCAAACCAGCATCCCTGTGTTGTCTCTTCGTGAAACAATGGCTGAGCATAAATCCATGTTCTCAAACTTGGCTGTACAATGGAAACACATCAGAAACTATGAACGCTCCTGATGCCTAAACCCCACCCCCAGAGATTCTGACTCTGGTCTGGGGGTGCAGCCTAGATTTTCACATCTCCCTAGGTGATTATAAAGTGCAGTAGCAAGTTGGTTCCATACTAGATGGAATGAGAGGGGAAGTGACGGGTGTTACTCGTTAAACTCCTTCAAATACCAAAAAGAAAAAAAACTTTCAACAAAACTACCCTCTTTTAGGTTGCATTTTTAACTTGTTACAAGGCCTTCACTTTAGTCTCCATCTTTTTTTTTTTTTCCTATATAAGGCTCTTTTTGGGAATCAGAAAGCTACAGAGCATAGCAGTAATGATTCCCACACTCAAATCTTTTTGTAGACTTGATCACCCAGTGTGCCAGCTGCACCTGCCAAAACATCAGTGGGCTATAAGCAAGAGAATTTTTGAGGGAAGAGACCAAGAAATTTCTGCTTACTAAATGTCCCTCTAGGAAGCCTGCATTTTGATATTCTGTCTGTATGTGGTAATAACTGGAGTGCAGAAACCTTAAAAACATCCGAAGATCCTTGCTGAGTCCTGACAGAGGTAAAGAGCTATAAATATATAGCCTTTGTGGTATGTCTCTGCCTAATTCAGATTTAATGCAGAGGTGAGAGACTTCTTTTTGGAGGTCAGAATTCCCAGTGTTACAAAATGTGGGCAATCTCACTCTGGCTATACTGCTATACTTTATTGTGTTGTTTGTTAGCTGGGAAGGGCAGAACTAACTGTTTCTGCAGAAATGAGGTGGATCCCTTTCCCGCTGTATGGACCTGGGGGACTCATCATCTTAGTAACATACCTGAAATTGTCACAAGGACATTCAGTCCCTCTAGCACATCCATCTGCTGAAATCGCCTCCGGTTGATCAGATTATAGACTTTGCCTTGCCCACTTCGGTCCAAAAGCATCAGGCCATTTTCAGTCCCCACCAGAAGGTTTACACCTGTAAATTTAAGAAGCACCCTAAGACTGACTTTTCATGAACTTTAATCTTCTGCATCGAGAGTCCCTATAAAATTTAAGAAACTGTGACTTGTAAATATACACTAATGGGCAAGTAGGTAAATATAAACTAATGAATGTAGAAGCTCTGACATAATAATTAAATCATTGTACTTCTGGTAATGAAATTACAGTTTTCTTTTATAAAGTTAGCAGCATTCATACATCTAGTTATTTACTACCTAATGCAGAGAGTCCTTGTCAATAGGAGCCTTAGGCACAGATGTGAAGCTAGCATAATTTGCCTTTATTCCCTGCCTGGAAAAACCACTTCTTTCTTGGCTCTCCCTATAAATCACTTCTCTTCTTCCCCAAGATTCACCCCCACCCCTATGCAGTGGTCTCTAGCCTACCCACCTTCAATATACAGTGGAATTTCCATTTCCATACTCCAATGGAAGAAAGGCCCTTCCTCCTTCTTGAATCAAAATGTAACTATCTTATGCCCCATACCCTCAAGTTTTTGCTCTTTTTTAGGGAAATGATAAACCCATTCAAGAGAAGTGTTAATAGCTGGAGAGTCACAGACATACTCACTTTAAGGGACTTCTCAGGTCTCTAAATCTAGTGCAGCCCAACACCCATGCAGTAATCCCTATTACAGAAGCACAGGCACATAAGTGGCTTTGTCTGGGTAGTTGTAATCCTAAAAATTTATGGCTAGGGAAATGTATCATCCACCCCTCAACACACACACACATTGAGAGGCTCATTGTGCAGTGTACTTTATTCATGAACATGTAACTCTCTAACTTCTCTTACGTCTTGTACTTCTATCTTCTGATCAACACAAATGTCTGCTTTTTTGTCCATATATTAATCCTTTCAGTATTAAATGTGGCTATCTTGTTCTCTTCTGTCTCTTCTCCAGAGGACAGAGCCTCTATCATGAAATGGTTCCTAGGCTTCACACTCTTCCCCGCTAACATCTCAAATGCTTTCAGCCTTTTAAAATTATGGTTCCCCAATCCAAGCCTAGTATTTTCAGTGGGTACACAGGGGACATGTCCTTCCTTAATCTGTATGAGATGTTTATAGTAACACAGACCAAGACTTTGATAGAATCTCATCATGCCTCTCCTGAGTTTGAGGTCAGCTAAAACCTGCAGATCTTTTTCACGAGAAAATGCAGATTGATGTTTTAAACTAAAAGGGAAAGTTCATTAAATTATTTGTTGTTCTTTTCAAGTTTTATCTTGTTATTGCTAGGGTTATGACCTTTAGTAATTCACAAAAATACTCTGGGCTGATTTTTCAGCTTGAAATAAAGGTTTATGCCATTATTTATGCTCATATTCCCCTTGCAGGATGTGGTATGGATCATGGAGAATGAACGTGGGGTATATCACAAAGTGCCAGACACAAATCGCCTCTGATTGATCACATTATAGGCTTTGCTTTGCCCACTCAATGTATTCAGTGGTAGCTAGTTCTCTTGTTGGCTTTAGCCTATCACTATTGTGTGACAAGGTTGCTCTGAATCTAATCTCGTCTTCCTGGCTAGTAGCGTATCAGCTATTTCTACATATAAAACTCCTTTTGGTTTCTCCTGAGGTCAAGATAGTCCCAAGTTAGGTCTCTAATACCCAGGATTCAACCAGTGTTCTTTTGATGACAAGATCCACAGGCTTTTAATGTTTGAGGGTCAGTTCATTAATGAGTGGTTATTTAAAAAAAAAAAAAAAAAAAGCACCAACATACCCCACAGAGCTGCACAAAGTATTTCTGAGTTGAATCGTTTCTTGTATTTTCTGATTTCTGGTGTGTCGCTATGAGGCCGAATGTTGGTTGGGTTTACATTTACCACCGAAATCTTTCTTGCTTCATTGAGTTTGGCCTGTTCTTGCCTAAGAAGTTCGCTAGTAAACAGAGCTTTGAGAAAAAGAATCAGAGAAGTCAGTGACATCTTAAAAGATAACTTATGGAGATGGGGCTTCAAAACACTATGATTTCTCCTTGTTTGGTTTGAATTATAGTAAAGGCAAGGAAACTCTGAAACTCTCCTTATTTTACACTTTTTTTTTGTTTTAGTAGAATAAAGTCTAAGTCATTCATCAAAGGAATCTTTTATTCATTAGAAAAACAGGCTTATAGACACTACTTGCAGAGTCTAGAAAGTCCCAAATTAAATACACCATCCCCACTCTTGTATATAGGCAAAAAAGATCTACTTTTTAAAATTGCAGTTTATCAGTTGAAAAACTGTCCTAAGCTGACTTTGATGATTAATTACTTGAAGAAGATTAGAAAGCAAGACTCCTTTAAATCAGCCTGATCTTTGTGGTGGGAAGCACACACCTAGAACTCAACACAATGTACCATACACTTATTAAGTGCCTAATGTGTGTAAAACATTGTACCCAGAAATTGTTTTGGGGAAACATTTAGTTATGTTCAGAGATCACTGAGGAACAGCTTTTCCTAGGGTCCCTATGTACCCCTGGGTCTACCAGAAACGAAATAGAAGAGATGGGAAAAAAAATGGAAAGTAATACATTTGTTTTAGGAGTCCTACAGAAATAATAATTTTAAAAAGTCTTCCTTTTAAGATAGGACCTAAGCAGTAATCAGCTTAACTACTGAACTGAGGATTAATTTCCTTATCAGGTCATACCAGAAAGGAAGACGAAGCTGTTTTTTAAACACAGGGCCCTTCTTGCTTACCTGCGGCTGATGATTCCTCATCCTCTTCATCTTCATCAGTGGGAGACGTCTGGTATACTCTGGGGTCCACAAAGGGGGTGAAGGAGGCTTTGGTGCTGCTCCCCATGCCATACTAATCAATAAGCAAGAAGATTAAGAAGAGCAGATAAATACTGCAGGAATAACAATGCTAACAATACTGTGCTTGGGCTGTAAAACGATCACAGATTCTTCAAGGTATTCAGGTGTTCACATTCTAGTGCTCTAGTCAGTGCGTGCCTGTCTCCAGCTTCTTCTGGTATTGGTTACTCACTAGTCATTGTGCATTCGTAGGACTTCATTAATTATCAGACTGCAAGAATTGTAGTGAGAAAATTACATTTTGGACCACATGTGGCACCTTAAAATCTGTAAGATCACTGTGGTGACAGAGCTTACCTCTCCCTTTCAGTAAAAGCAACCTCCTATATTGACTACTTGATCAATATGAAAAGCTGACATAATTGGCAATAAACTAAGTAAGGAAGCCTATACAGCAGTACTTTATCCTGAACAGAGTCAAACCAAGGGGCTTTCTCTTGGGGAGGAGAGCTTTGAGCCCTTCTACTCTGGCCTGGTGATGCAAGTGAATTGGTGTTGGCTCCAAAAGCTTTAAAATCCTCAATTCAGGGATGATTTTATGCTGGAATTGAAGATATTTCCTTCCCACGATAGTTTCCTTAAAAGAATAATTACATTTACATCCTTATTTAGGGACTTCATGAGGATATTACGTTTGTGAGCAATGTACCTTGAAGGCTTACTTTAAAAAATGAATCTTGGGCTTGAATGGCACCATGAAAACATGATGTCAGAAGGAGATGAGGGAACAGTAAACTCAATATCAGGGTTTTATGTCACAATATTCTAAATTTGAGTTTTGCTGAATAAGCTGCAATGTCAGTCATGTCCATTTCTTCTATTCTTGTCCTTTAACATCATAAACACATCTGTATTCAACATAATAAGCACATCTTTTTTGGATAAATATCTTTAACTAAAGGTTATTTCACTTTAGTTTTACTGTTAGGTTTTTATTTAAAAATAAAACCACCATCCAAGACCTCTAAACATATAAGGAGAAAACCACAAAGATCTAATCTGATTTAATTCAAGATTTTCTTTCCATCCTATGAAATCAAAACCATTTCATCCTCCTCAAGGTTGAATTCCCCCTACCAAATAGAACACTTTCACGTACATGTTCTCTTTTGATCTTTGGAAGATGTCTGTGAAAGAGGTAGGGCAGGCACTAACATTTCCACATAGAGCTGGGGCAGCAGCAGAATTTGAACCAGGGTTCAATCTTATGGTGTCCTCCTTGGTACCAAGAGAGGTGTTCAGGCAGAAAATGCCCACACAGCATGAAATTACAATAGGATGCTGTGCTTTGCAGTATATCACTGTGTTCTTTTCCTTGGGGTATGCAAAGCTCATCTACTCTATAACTTTAGAATTCAAAGGGTGCATCATAAAAACTTAGTGTGTGGACAATGTCAAAAATAATAGTACATGTGCTTTATAAACACATTTAGGGCCTTACGTGTGATTGACAAGACTGTTAATGAAACAAGACTACACACTGTGAACTCATCCAACTGGTGTCAGTCATCAGCGTCTATGGGCACTACCTACAGATTGTGTTTATTCAGACTTTTCGCTGGGGCTGTTTCTCTACAGGAAAGGTAATGCTTGGTTTCTTTCTTCTCACACAATTTTGAATTTATGAAAGATGAACACTCTAAGAACTTATCTATTTATTAAATTTTATTTTTCATAAACAAATCATTTAAACTTCATTTTACTTAAGTCATACTTAGTTTGACTAAATTAACACAAATATAAACCTCAACTGTTGGCCTTGAAATCTGTGTAGCCTGAAGTTTCCATCAGAACTGGAGGTCCCAGTTCTGGTCTTAGATCTGTCACAAACCAGCTGTGTGTCTTGGACAAGTCATTCAACCTCTGTGAACCTCAGTACACTCATCTGTAGAAACAGGTATTGGTTCAGATGATATCTGAGAACTTTTCACTGCTCTGCTTCCATGATTTCTCTATTTGAGTATCTGCATAAGTAGCTCTATGGTAGAAACCAACCAAACAAGTTTCAAGGAGCTTGGCGAAGCCTCATTCTTGAAGAGATCATGGTTTTAGAACCCCAGGAAGGACAGCAGAACTGTCATGTCAGCTGTTGCCCAGCACCTACTTCAGTCCCAGAGTCCATCTCCTGGGAATGGGTTGAGACGCGCCCCAGTCCCTCAGTCGGGGTTCCAGCTGGAGAATGGCTCTGCTGCACCAGGTCAGGGAGGTTGATGTGGCCAGCAAAGCCATTGCTGTCACTGTGGCCAGATCGCTTCTTCTCTCCAGACGTCTGAGGGAGCACAGCACGTGGGAGGAGTTAGAGAGGGGGGAAAAAGGCCACAGAGTGACATCAGCCCTCACACAGCATAGGCATACGGGGCTCCAAATCAACCCACTAGGGCATGAGAAGGTGATATTCACATTTCTATTTTACTTAAGAAAACAAAAAAGAAATTAAGCTTTGCCAATATTTAGTTTATGGATTGAGCCTGAAGCCTTACGTTCCTGCATGAGGTACAGACAGTGGTCACATATGGCATGGGAGTCCCATGTACAGAGGGAGACGCTACAAAAAGGGAGGGACTGAGCAGGGCCCACACTTGTAAACTCTTTTGTAGTACTTGTGCTGTATGCACCTGCCACTTATATATATTTACAGATCATATTACCAGGTTACAATGAAACAAACCCACACAACAGATAAACGACCTAAAGTGTTGCTGAAAAGAAGCAGTGTGTGTGGAGTACTCCAAGAAAGGGCAGAGACCATACTTAACTCACAGGGCTCTTTGTCATTCACAAGGTCAAAACAATGATTAATCAGATCTGACAGGAGTTCCAAATATATTGACATGATCTAGAATACTATTTGAAAATATGGATTTACAACTATCATAAATGTTTATGTCTCAATAAATAACTATGGTGCTTTGTGATGTAGGCAGTAACAAAGTCATAACTAGCAAAGCATTTGAAACATCACCTCTAATATCCCTTTTTAATGTCCTTTAAAGGTTTTTCTTTTTTTTTTTTTTGAGATGGACTCTTCACTCTGTTGCCCAGGCTGGAGTGCAGTGGCGCGATCTTGGCTCACTGCAACCTCTGCATCCCAGGTTCAAGCAATTCTCCTGCCTCAGTCTCCTGAGTAGCTGGGATTACAGGCATGTGCTACCACACCCGGCTAATTTTTGTGTATTTAGTAGAGATGGGGTTTCACCATGTTGGTCAGGCTGGTGTCGAATTCCTGACCTTGTGATCCACCCACCTTGGCCTCCCAAAGTGCTGGGATGACACGTGTGAACCACCATGCCCGGCCAAAGGTATTTTATAATGTATATAATGTCAGTGCAGTAGAAAAAAATGTATGACTTGTGAATAAATACACTGTATTAGGTGACACGCTGTACAGTTTTTACTGATAGGATTACGTGATGTAACAAGTTTGGAAGCCATTGCTCTGGAGAGCAGTCTCTGCCAAAAAAACCCCAGGGAGGAAAGGCAAGATTAAAAGACAACTCTGGTTTCCAAAAGCCAGTGCCCACATTGTAGGCCTGACTAGTGTTGCACTTTTTAACTTTTATGCAACTGGCTCATTGAGGATTCTTAGAGCAGATCTGATTAAGTGATGATTTCCCTCTCTGCCTTTTCTTTCATTCATTCATCAACACAGTATTTTTTAGTTCCTACTAAGTGTAAAGCATTCTACTGGCATGTGCAAGGTTTCATGCTGTTTCTTTGACCATCTCACCAGCCTAGCTTTTTACTTCTGGAGCTTGTCATGGATTTGCAATTACAGCTCTCTGCACCTGCCTCTGGCTGGAAGTGAAAGGAGGCACTTCTTTTCTTTTTTCTTGTTTAGATGAAACAGACTCCCAAGCTCCTGTAATGGTGCATGTAATTGATGTTTCCAGGAAGCTTGAGAGATAACTGGAAAGCCTAGTGTCCTTTGTGTTTCTTGGCAACCTGCTCCTGGACTACGAGCTGTCCTGGAGAGGAACATTTTCTGGATTCATTTTGTCACAGTGGCCATCAGTAGCGTGTATTAGTGCCTATTCTCAGAGTTGAGCATTTCCTTTTCTAAATGACATTTAGGAAATTCAGTCCTAATACATCTTATTGTGTGCTACTTTATGTATACTGGGCAGTTTCTCCTTTCTTTTAACTTCTGTTCAAATACTGAAAAGCTTTTAAACATTTTCCCCAAACCTCTCTTTAGCATAAATCACATGTCATCTCTTTGGAATTTTTTGGCCTCTCTTGTATCAGCAGCACTCTTTCTCAAGCCAAAAACTGATGCAGACACACTGGTTATCAAAGAGAGACTCAGAGAGGCTAACAAGGGGAAGTGGCTCAGATAGTGAGAAGCTTAAAGGAATCCAGTAGTATGCTCTGAATCTGCCCACTTCTGAGTCATCACCCTTTTGTTCACTCCACCAGCACCTTCTTATTAAACACTTTCTGTGTGCCAAGTACTGTACTGGAAACACAAAGACAGATGTACAACAGCCTTAAGAACCTCATTAACAGAACCTCAATAATATCTCGTCTTTATCTCTCACCATTCCCGTGGGGATTGGCACAAAGATGTTCTGTGTACCACCACATGCCAAGTACTGTGCTAAACACTTTATATATGACATTCCATCAATTATCTTGCCCTGAGTGACACGGGTTCTAAGTGGTTTGAACCCAGCTGTCCTATGGCAGAGCCCAGGTGCTCTGGGCTGCACTGTTGTATTAGGGGGCCTACTCCTGGTCACAGCTGATTGAATCAGGGGTGGATGCCTGAGCCAAGAGGGACCAGATTCCCACTGGAATTTAATATTAAGCCCAAGAGACATGGATCAGTTTCTGCTGGCAGTTGAACTGGGATGTGGTGAGTATCTTGCAATGGAGGAAGTGGAGAGGTGAAAGCAGGAGCATGCAGAGGGAGAGAAAGCTCCTCTACAAAGAGAGAGAAGAGCAAAGGAGAAATGTGGAAGAAAGCAGAGATTAGGGTAAGGAGAGACAGGCAGCAAGAGAGCCAGAGACCTGCACATGAGAAGCTGCCTGAGCTCCTGTCTGTTCCAGTCCTTCAAAGAGGCTCAGCTCACTTTTACCTTTGGGTTCCTTCCATGAAATACCCTAAATCTTCCTTTACTCCTCTATTTCTGATACCTACCCTCTCCCGACTTAAAAAATGTTCTTTTTTTTCTTTCTTTTCTTTCTTTCTTTTTTTTTTTTTTGCTTACTCTGTATTAAGTGGGTTCTTTTACTCATTACTTGTAACCCAAAGAGCCTTCATGATGACAAGCTAGTGTTCTGGTTCAGTGAGGAGGATCAACGCTGAAAAGATACCAGGAAGGTGCTGTGTACAAAGGTCCATGGAGTCCCAGTAGAGGCTTGTAGGAGATAAGGAAGATTGAGAACAGGGACCTTCTTTTGGTGAAGTGTGGGTAGCAGTGGATAATACAAAATACCTCTTCCAGCAGATGAGCTTCCATGGACAAATGGCAGCTCACAGCTGGTGTGGTGTATTCTAGAACCGAGTAAAAAGTGGTCCTGTGGGGCTATAGGACAGGGATAGGTAGAACCACAGGGATAAGGGTATGCACTACAAGGGGAAATTTGTGCATCTGACAGGATCATGAGTGTTAGAGTGGTATGTTCTTATAGAACCATCTAGTCCACTCCACAAGATGACAAGTTGGGTGAGTTCTCCTAAAGTTCATCTTGGAGAACTGTACTAATAGCACCCTATAAGCTAAATCTTATTATAATGAGTTTTTATTTTATGTTCTTATTTTGTCAGGGATAAACTTTAACCTGCATTTATCTTGTTTAAACATGTACTTTTAGTAATTTTCAGCTCAAGGTTTGATGATGGTTAATTTTATGTGTCAACTTGACTAGACCATGGGGTGCCTCGGTTAAACATTTTTTCTGGTATGTCTGTAAGTGTTTCTGGAAGCAATTAGCATTTAATTGGTAGACTCAGTAAAGTAGATTGCCCTTTCCAAGTGGGATGGGCATCATCTAATCTGCTGGGGACCTGAACAAAACAAAAGGCAGAGGAAGAAGGAATTTTCTCCCTCTTTTTCTTCTCCGCTGGTTGAAGTGGGACATTTCATCTCATCTTCACCCAGCTTCCAACTAGGATTTATACCAACAGCTTCCCTGGGTCTCCAGCTTGCATATGGCAGATCATGGGACTTCTCAGCCTCCATATCATATGAGCTACATCCTCATAATGAAGCAGTCTCTCGGCCGGGCGTGGTAGCTCACGCCTGTAATCCTAGCGTTTTGGGAGGTCAAGGCGGGCAGATTGCCTGAGCTCAGGAGTTTGAGACCAGCCTGGGCAACACAGTGAAACCCCATCTCTACTAAAATACAAAAATTTAGCTGGGCGTGCACCCGTAGTCTCAGCTACTTGGGAGGCTGAGGCAGGGGAATCGCCTGAACCCAGGAGGTGGAGGTTGCAGTGAGCCGAGATTGCACCACTGCACTCCAGCCTGGGTGACAGAGCGAGACTCCATCTCCAAAAATAATAATAATAATAATAAAGCAGTCTCTCTCTCTCTACATATGTAAATACTCTCTTTCTCTGGAGAACCCCAACTAATACAGTTTGTTATTTAAAAAACCCACATTGAGGAAGGCAGAATTGGAAATTGAGAGGACAAAAATATTTTGGGTTCCTTAATAGATCAAATTCCTATAAGACACTGGCAAATGCTATTTTCTTTCTTTCTTTCTTTCTTTTTTTTTTTTTAAGACAGAGTCTCGTTCTGTCGCCCAGGCTGGAGTGCAGTGGCACGATCTCCACTCACTGCAACCTCTGCCTCCCGGGTTCACGCCATTCTCCTGCCTCAGCCTCCTGAGTAGCTGGGACTACAGGCGCCCGCCACGACGCCTGGCTAATTTTTTTATTTTTAGTAGAGACGGGATTTCACTGTGTTAGCCAGGATGGTCTCGATCTCCTGATCTCGTGATCCTCCCACCTCGGCCTCCCAAAGTGCTGGGATTACAGGCACGAGCCACCGCGCCCGGCTGCAAATGCTGTTTTCAAAGTGACAGGTTGTGGTCATAGAATACTGGAGTGCTATAAATAACATGGAGCCATTTGGATGTGGCTGGCAATGAACTGAAAATGTGGCTCCAAATGTCTACTTGGAGGTATTGACTCTGTCATAAAGACTCAAGCAAATTTTAAGCCACATTAGAAATCGGAGTCCTTTTATCTGGAGTCAAACAGCAACTCACTCCAGAACGTTCTCCCTCATGTTTTCCTAAGTGGTAAGTTATAGGGATAGAAGCCTTCTACACTTCCATTGAAATTATCCATTAACCACATGAAGAGATTTATATGCCAGCACTACACAATGTCAATTTCAGCAGCCAAGTCCATTTTTCATTTCAGGCATATGTGAAAGGACTCTTTAAAGGCTACTTGAAAGATTCAACAAGGACATAAAATGAAATTCTAGCAAGTTGCTTTGTGAACTAGTCTTCCAGTTATAGCCCCACTGCTAATTATTATTTCAAAGGCCTTATTCATCTCAAAACTACAGTTCCTTTCTTTCTTACGAAAGTGAGATGCCCTTTGCCTTTTTGGAGAGCAAAGTCTGCTATTAGAGTTTCCCAACTCTGTCCTGGCTGAAGAGGAAAAACAGATGACATATGTTTATGTTTCAGAGGGAGGACTGGATGGTGATAACAAGTAAAAGGAGAATTCATTTCCGAGGAGAGAGTGAAATAAAATAGTTAACATTTATTGAATGCTTAATTTACTAACTCAATATTCTCAACCATCTTATAAGTTGTATGCTATTATTTATAAAATTTTATAGATGGATGCAGGGAGAGGTCAGGTAACATTTGCCCAATGTTCTCAGCCATTTCTTTCCTTCCAAGTAAATATCTGCACTCAAACTTGCATGGTGATGATGAAGTGAAAAAGAGGAAAAGACGGATTTCAATTTGTCAGGGTCTTTCTGGTTAGCATGGACACAGTGGGGAGTTACTGCATGTCAGAAGGACAGATGAAAGGGAACATGTGCCACCCCCCAAATGAAATGATGTTCCTAGAGTTTAAAAAAAAATTCAACCAAAGTTCCAAGGTACATTTTTGAAGTAGATCTGCCTATTTCTTTGTTATTTCAATAAAATAACTTAACGGTTGTTTTAATGTTAATTTAACAAGATAAGATGATATCATCATTTCTTGGAACTATTGAGCATTTTTTATACGAAATCCACTAAGATAAAACCATGGGGAGAAGAGACATAACAAGGCCAGTGATGCTATTCAGAGAGACCATTCATTTCTGTTTTCCTGTTGTAGGAAACATCTAAGTTTGCAATTTTATATCCTCAGGCCCAAATTCTATATTCTGATTTGCATAGCTCCTGCTGAAGAATTTGGAATAATATAATTAAGTCACACTGCCAGAGCTTAGAAGAATACAGGAAAGAAGGCAGCAGACAATTAAAATCACTCAACTATTTGGAAGCACAGGTCCTCCCTCCCCCAAGAATTCCCCATACTTAAAATACATGCCATAGGCATTCTCTGTGAAAGCTTTAATGTAAAAACCACTGAAGAAATGGCATTTCCTCTACACAGTTTTTATACCAACTTACCTCTCTAATCATCAAGGTTCCTTCTCTTGAAATACTGCCGCTGAAACTGTCCGCATGAGAGGTCTCCAGCCCATGCGTCCCCACCATTCCCACATTGTACTGCTCGTTGCTGCCTGGAGCTCCTGTTGGTCTGAGATGAGAAGGAACAACATTCATGGCAATGTATCTTTAGGAAATATCTGTTTCCTGTCCATATTCATTATTTTTGTTATGGTAAAATATACATATTAATAACATAAAATTTACCATTGTACCAATTTTAAGTGTACATGTCAGTGGTCTTAAGTACATCTCATATTAATTTTTTTTTTTTTGAGAAGGAGTCTCGCCTTGTCGCCCAGGCTGGAGTGCAGTGGCGCGATCTTGACTCACTGCAAGCTCTGCCTCCCAGGTTCACGCCATTCTCCTGCCTCAGCCTCCCGAGTAGCTGGGACTACAGGCGCCCACCACCACGCCCAGCTAATTTTTTTTGTATTTTTAGTAGAGACGGGGTTTCAACATGTTAGCCAGGATGGTCTCGATCTCCTGACCTCGTGATTTGCCCGTCTTGGCCTCCCAAAGTGCTGGGATTATAGGCGTGAGCCACCGCGCCCTGCCAATCTCATATTAATTTTAATGTGTGTTGATGTCTGGACTGGCCCCACTTTTGCAGCATCCCCTCTTGACCTATTCTCTGCCCAGTAGCCAGACTGAGCAAGTGTTTGGCTTTACCTGGAAAAAACACTGAAGTTGGCACCAGGAGTCACCAGGCTCTGCATGATCTCCCCTGACCCCTGCCCTCCTTCTTTGGGCAGCAGACAACCTGACCTGCTTTTACACATGCTGTTCCCTCTGCCTGGAAAGTTCTTTCCACTCTGGCCTTGGTTGGTTCCCTCTCATTCATCCTACATGATGCTTTCTGTGAGAAGTCTGCTCTTATCACCTATGTCTTGTCCCAACAGCCCCTCTTCTTTTCTCTTCACCCTTTTTCCTTCATAGTTCTCATCACAATTTGCAATTATCTTATCTTTTGAATTCTCCCTTTCTCCTTCCCTCTCATTGCTTGTGATGGCAGAGTCCTTGTCTCTTTGTTCATTATTATTACCCAGTACCCAGCCTAGAGTTGTCACATACTAGGAATGCAAAAAATGATTATTAGATCCATGGGCTTTATGCTTCTATAAAGAAGAAATATCTACTAAGAACATTCTGGCTTATTGGGGCATCCATAAACTAGGAGGTTTAACTTAAACAGCACTCAGCCTCTGTAATCATCCTGCATGGTGGTATATTTATTTTCAGTTCTTTTCTTGCTATCATGTTTACAGTATAATGAGAGAAGGTAACAGGATCTCAGCATACTCCTTGAGAACACAGACTGATGTTTCCTGTGTCCTGTAGCACAGAGCACAGTGCCAGGGCTCAAAAAGTGATGACTGACTGCTCATAGTGAGCTTCACTCTATCAGGAGTGCCTCATTTGCATGACACAGAATTTCTCTGGTTTAGGAGCTCAGGGGATTTGAGAACCACACACCACAGGTTGAGGTTGGTACAACATGGCTTCTGGAAGAAGGATTTTGGTTGTTAATGCGATACTTGTTGTTCTCCTATTTTAGCATCTGCCTCTCTTTTAAAGTGGGTTTTCTAAAAATAGGAAAGTTATCAAGGCTTATTTCTCTCTAGGCATATTAATTGCAACTTTAATCATTTTTTTCTTTTATTTTCATTGTTTCTTATATATTTAAAAATATCTCTGGCCTCTTGGATCTTATGAAAGTCCAAAGAATTACTGGAAACTTCCATCTAAGAAACAAGAAATACACCAGATTTATGATGTCTCTGGGGCAGAGAAAGACATATTTCAAGGATTTTTATCCAAAACAGACAGGTGAAAAAATGACAGGGGGAGTCCAGACGAGAAAATGTATAGTAAGAAGCTTCCATTGCAATTACTAAACTGGAGCAGTGGATTGAATGAATCTAAATGTGGGCTAGAACTGATGTGTTTGGGAAGAAATTCCAAAGAGGCATTTTCATTTTCAACATGTCATTCCTAGAAAGGAGCTTTTAATAGTGTTCAGAGACATGGAAAAAAAAATTGAATTCCTGGCATTTTGATAGATTGGTAAATCAGTTTTCAAAATATCATTTCTTCACTCATTTGTTTATCTTGTGTGTATCTTCCATTTTTTTTTCTTGCTCTTCTTTCTTCCTTTGTGCCGTAAGTACTTGTTTGGGACAAAATGATATAAAGCCAATAAATCAATGAAGTACTTATCAAGAGTCTTCCATGAGGGCAGCCACTTTTCTTATTTATCAGAAAGGGGTTCTTTGCTATTGTCAGGGGCTCAGTTGGCCTGGTGGCATCTGCCAGGCTGATGCTTGTACAATCAAGTTCTCCTGTCCTAGTCAGACCTGCTTCCTCTGTTACCTGAATAACAGTTTTCTTGGTGGCCACCCCGTCTTCAGTCCTTTCCCCCTCATATCCACTCCTCACAGCTGTGAAAGTGAGCCCTCCAAAACACAAATCTGACCAAGTCCGAATCACTCTTCTACTTTCAATCTTCAGTAGCTCCCTGTCAACCACAGGATAAACTTGAAGCTCCTTACTGTGGCTTACAAGCTCTCCATTATCTAGTTCTTGCCTGTCTCACTAACCTAATTTTTTTTAACAAAATCCTGCCCCAACTCCTAACTCTACCAGCATTTAACTTATAAAAGTTTCCTATGTACATTATGCTAGAAAATCCCTGGTGACTTTAGCCTGCCCTCTTTACCTGGAAGATTCTTTTCTATTCTCTGCCTCCCTCTGGCTAACTCATTCTTTAAGCCTCACTGGAATGGTTTAGGTGGCTCTTCACTCTGCCTCCACATTGCCCTTTGTGCATCTCTACCACTGCATTCAATACACAGTCCTGCAATGATCAGATCTCATTAATGTTGGTATTTTCAGTGCCAAGCATGGTGCCTGGAATGCAGGTAGCACATAATAAATGTTTATTAAATCGCTGAAGATCTTGGGTCAAGGGCTTTGTTTAATGTCTAACAGAGATTTCATTCAGATTTATTGTAAAAATATAGCTCTTCTGTGAATTGATAAGTAATTGGCTATCAGGATATTATTTGGATATTTAAAATATCTTGAGCAATCAATGTTAAGTTTTACAATTTTATGAAGTTGGGTTTACTAGGATGTGCCAAAATAATTTTCTTATAATTGGGTGGTTATCATAGAATAACAAAAAATCTATTCAGATATATCATAGAACTTTACAGGAAAAAGAGTTAAACTTAATGTATATAAATTTTAAAAAATCATTGAGGAGATCAGAAGCTCCCAGGAAAGAATGTTAAAAACTGTGATAAGAGAATCTCACCATATTACAAATGTATGAACAACTTCAGTGAGGAGAAATGTGGCAAAAAGGCATTGATCTAAGTAACCTTGGAAATGAGTGGAGTCTGTAATACTAAAGGCAAGAGGAACTGAGCAATAAACAGTGTACATTCTAGTTGAGAAAGTTGTTTCCCATGAGGTTACAGGTTAACAAATTTGATACTACTATACAAAAATACTGGATGTGCACAATTAAGTAAATGGGTGGTTGATATGGTGTGGCCATGTCCCTACCCAAATCTCATCTTGAATTGTAACTTCCATAATCCCACGACATGGGAGTGACCCGGTGGGAGGTAATTGAATCATGGAGGTGGGTTTTTCCTCTGCTGTTCTTGTGATAGTGAATAAATCTCAGGACATCTGATGGTTTTATAAAGGGCAGTTCCCCTGCACATGCTCTCTTGCCTGCTGCCATGTAAGACATGCCTTTGCTCCTCATTCACCTTCCACCATGATTGTGAGGCCCCCCTAGCCATGTGGAACTGTGAGTCCATTAAACCTCTTTTTCTTTATAACTTTATACACTCTCAGGTATTTCTTCATAGCAGTACGAAAATGGACTAATACAGTAGTTGATGGCAGAAGCCAGGTTTCTGACTGTTGGAATGGGAATTTACAAACAAGCAAGGGGAGGTGGAGGCATGTCAGTCAAAGAGGCACAGGAGCTAACTGAAAGAGCTCCCAAGGTCAAAACTGGAAAATTTGAGCAACAAAATAAAGATTATATCCATGAATCTATACTGATATAAATGATGGAATAAATTAATAAATAGAGGAGACAAATCTGTGCAGAAGAATTCTAAATAAATTATGTAGCTATTCTACCCTACAGGAGGGAACGCATGATTCCCCACTCCTCAAGTGTGGGCTGTGCATAGTGGCTTCCTTCCAAAGGTATAGCATAGAAAAAAGCGGAAATAAAAGAGTCATTTTACAGTGGAGAAATCTTCCCTACTGGAGCATTTGCTGGTATTTGAGGGAAGACACTAATACCTAAGGTTGCCTCTTTGGCTTGCTTGATGTGATGCAAATCAAATTAAATGCCTTTCCTTCCATTCTTTTTATTCTATAAAGCTTTTATTTTTTTCCTGATTATAAAGTAGTACATGCCCATCATATAATTGGGGATATACATAAAATAAAAATCTCCCATAATTATATTACCCAGAGGTAATCACTTTTATAATTTTGGTGTATTTCCCTCCACTCGTTATTTTTCTATGCATGAGGAATTGGGAAATACTGCAACTGGTTAGTTGGGGAATACAAACTTAGTTAAGTGCACTCTCATAAGTTATATCTTGTAAAATAAATGCAAAACCAGCACAGTGCATAGAAAAAAGCTATTGTTTTAAACATCAGAAACCACAGCTGTTTGTCAAAATGGCTGGTGCTCCATTTCTGAGAAGCTTCTCTGTGTTTACTTCATGGTGGGCACTGAGCTACAATATATTTTTGTTTTCTGCTTTAAAAATATATGGCACAAAATATAGAGGTTTACCTTAACAAAAAATAAAGGTAATAAGAATGTATATAAAAGGCACTCTGGCCCCCAAATACTCAATTCCTAAATATTGTTTTATAATGAACTTTTAATAGTATGAAATTTCTCAGGCATGCAATCATCACATTGTAGAACAGACTGTGTATATTTTATATGCAATATAAAAATACATATATTTACAAATTGAAGTAAACATACACACATACATTTGTACCCTTCGTACCCTTATTTTCTCACATACATAATCACATATTTTAAATGTTCTTAAACAATCATTTCCATCTATCTAAAGTTTACCAATCCCTTAAGAACCATGTCAAGTCTTGCCTCCACCATCAGCATTCCATGATAGCCTCAGTTCATTATTTCTTATGCAGATTATAGTAATAGCGCCTCTGAATTGCTTTACCAGTCTCCAGTCTGTTCCCTTTTCAAATCGTCTTGCTGAAATAATCTCCCTCAAATATAACACTGAACTCAAGATACGTTCAATGGTTTCCAATGGCTACATATAAAGAGCACACTTCTTGGTCTGATTTCACTAGTCCAGACTCCCCTCCACCGTATACACCATACATTCCCACCAAAGTCAACTTTCTGTGTCTTTACTTCAACTCTTCCCCCTGCTTGGGATTCTAATATTACCTCAGGATTTTTTTTTTTTTAATCTTGCTGACAGTTATTTGTATAGAATTGGCTATACACTCTTCAAAGTCAGAACTTGCAATTTCAAATTCAGTGCAATTAAATGTAAATTATAGTCACTGAAGACCCACTGTATTCCAGACACCATGGAACGTGTTAAGAGCAAGAGAGATGAGTAAGGCATAACCCTTACCCTGAAAGATATCATAGTCCAGAAAAGGAGACAAAGACCTAACAAACAATCCTGATTCAAGGCACTACATGAAGATGCAGGAATACACACAACATACAGCGGTAGCACAGAAGAGGGGGCAGGCTCTACCTATGCAGGCGGGGCTGTGAGTAGGTGATTTCTAAAGGAACAGGAAATGCCAGACAGAAGTGAAGCGTGGTCTATTCAGGAAATTTTAGAAAGGTGGGTGTTTCTACAGTGGGGAGTAAGTCCTAGATTTGCCTTTAAAGGTAGGAGGGTGAACACCATTAATAGCCTTGCAAAATATGATAGGGGACCTAAAACCCAAATGCTAATGAACATCTTTGGTTGTTCCTCCAAATGTTTATATTAGCCTGCAGTTTTCCATGTGTAATTTTGTCATTCTCCAACTAGCATATAAACTTTTGGAAGACAAAATCCAAGTACGAACTTATCAGATCTCTTAAAGCCTTCAGCAGGGCTATCACATAGTGAGAGTTTTAGCAACCTTTTAATTTCATAATCTTCTCTCATCCTGATGCTTGCATGCTCAGTGCTTAAAAGGAGTTCAAAACATCTGTCAGAAGAATTAAGCAATTCTGAGTCAAGACAAAAACTAAAAGGGCCAGCATGTTTTGCAGAAATGTTCTGGATTAGTGATTTTGCCTCTAGAACAATTTTATTTACTTTTAAAAAGGCAATTTAATGCAATTTGTTTCAAAATGTCATATTTTAGCATATTTAGAGCTGTCAGCAACTGGGTCATCAACAGCAAAATAACCAGTATGGATTTTTCAGCTACGTTAATTAGATTTGCCTCTTAGAATCGCTTGTATGTAATGATGTTAATCAGTGAATGACATTCCCTTTAGACTGGCCAGCCCTGCCTCTCCAGTCCCTGCTGAAGTGGACAATAATTTGTGGCCTGAAATGGCTTCTTTTTTATATAGAGTGAGTGTGAACTGATAATCAATGCTAGTAGCTGAGCCAAAGAAATAGAGGTGATTGAAGTGTGAAGATGGAAAAATTAGCATCTCATTCTATCAAAGTTGTAGGAGACCAGGGCACAAACACCTTGTGCTTACTAGGTGGAGGAACTGGGGAAGCAACAGGGGATAAGGGTAGGTTCTTTCACGGGATCCACTCCAATAAGAAAAAAAAAAAATGAACTTTCTCCTCACCTTGAAAAAAAAAAAAAAAAGAAAAAGGCTACAATTACTAAAGAAAATGTAGGTACATATAAATATACATGTAAATACATAAAAAGAGAACTGCAAAGAGACTGACAGTATGTGGCAAAGACACAGACCACAGAAAAATGGATCCAGAAAAAGAAGCCATGAAGGGAATAAAGTAGAAAATCATAACGGGGTATATTTTGGAACTTTCTCTGCATGATTATCTGAGTCCTGATTCTTTTGCTGGGATGGTAACGCATGCTGGCTTGTGCATTTCTCCTTGCTTGTTGGTGGCAGTGGTGGTAATGAAATACATGTTTTATGTTGTTAATTTTAATCCCTAAATGTCATTGCCCATGATTTCAGTGTTTCAGTTTTAGAGGGGAAGGCACGTATCAATGGTCTGGTTGTCGATATTGTTTGCCCTTAAGATGAAAAGAACAAGAAAGAGTCGCCGAAAGGATAGTCAATCCATTGGCAATGGATAGGTAAAGTGTATGCAGTCCAAAAATGCTACATATTCTAAGTGATTGTGTCCATAGATAGAGATAATTATAGAACTATGCTCCAACAAAAACCCAAGTCCCGAAAGTCAATTTATCTTGCCACAGACCCATATACAATCTTACATTTAACTCATATTTTTTTGTCCTTTTATTTTGGAAACCTAGTCCCCTCCCGGTCTACACTTTAAAAGTAGTTCTCTTACATCAGTCTGGGTATGTCGCTGACAGCCACTGTCCCATCATGGGTCTCGCTCTCTCCATCTTCCTCCTCTTCCTCGCTACTTTCTGACTCCTCACTGGAGGAGGAGTAATCAGTCACCTTCTTCATTGGGCGGTTTGTTTCTTCAATCCGGAGTTCTCTTAGTTCTTTGGCTAATGCCGTCAGATCCTATGAAAGAAAAATTTGTTCAGCATATGAGTGGTAGATACGACCAAAGCTACATCTCTCAGCAAGTCAGTGCTCCAGCTTAAGCAACAAGAAAAAAAAAAGCTCTATATAGAACTGTGACAAACATAGTTACTGCATGGAACTAAGAAAATGATGTTTGTAGCGTGTAGAAGCTAGAAAAGAAAGATGAAATCAATTTAAACTTTTTCAAAACCAATAGCTAGACTGAGACTGTTCAGTCCTGAATATATATGTGTACATATGTGTATGTACACATATATACAAACATTGGGTTCTCATTTTGTTTTGGAAAGGTGAAGCTGGTCACCCCCAGAGTTAATGGGAAAATATGTGGGATTAGAAATTGTGCCCCAGTATTCTGGGACTCCTGCCCAAGCCACAGTGATGGCTTTTCCCCTCTTATGATTGCTGCTGTACTGAAATTTACCATCAGTCAGCCATAGAACAGAGCAACTCCCAAGGTTCCAGCTACTACAGTGACTCATTTGGTGTGTCATCATTCCCTGGAGAATGGAGGTACCACATCAAATCATGGCCCATCCTAAAGTCTAGTGCCACTGAAATTTACAGCCACAGAACTGAATTAATCAAGAGGAACAACAACAACAAGAGTTCTCTTCCAAAATGATAGGTGTTTCATTTTCTTTTGTTTTAAATTCCAGTCATCTGGCAGAAATCCTGGTGAAGAACACTAAAATGAATGTGCAAATACCAAAAGGAAGAGATAATTTTGAGTTTTCCATGAGTATGATGAAACCTTTAGCCTTATGGATGTGATGATGTGGTATTTAATCACCAGGCATACTGCAGGCAGTGTGCTGAATATCCGACTACCTTTTATTTTACATGCTTTCAGAGTAATGCAGAGGGAAGCAGTTCTGCAAAAGCATGGCCGCTCTAATTTGCATGGGTTAAACTGCCCATGGCACACAGCATGCAAATGGGGAAAAAGCAATTTGACATCAGTCTTACCATTTCTCCCTATATTAGTGACCCATGTGGGAATCAGAGCATTCAGTGAGAGACAGGGGATTAGGGAGAAAGAAACTCATTGAAAAATACTAAATCCCACAGTTTTCTATGGCCATATTCTCTCTTTATTTCAATCCAGAAATGTATGCATCCAATTCACCTGATGTAGGATTAGAGCAACCTGGGTGATGACATTGGGTAATCCATCCTAATCGGTTAAAAGAAAAGCTGTGATAAATGTGTATAGTTAAATTATAATTTTATTTTGAGAATACAACAAAACATTGTTTCTCTACTGCCACCTGTATGTCAGGCATTACTATTTTGGTTCACACTAGGAAAGGAAACACTTTAGGTGTTTTACGTGGTCTAGAAATTTAGGCAATTCATAGTGTTAACTGAAGGGTCATTTCTTTCTAATTTCATAGAAATCAAAGGGAAAGCAAAATGGCTTTTAAATTTGTCTTGATGACACCTGATTTGAAACCCTTAGAATATGGAAGCTGCTAAAAATTCAACCTTTGCATTACATACAGAAACACACTTGGCTAGGGCTTTTGCACACATGCACATTTGCACATTTGCACATGCCTCAATCTCGGTGAATGTATTTGCTCCATCTGTGAAAGTGAAAATAGAATTGTATTTAGAAGGCCAACTCTGTTTAAATGTAATGCATATTATAAAAAGAAGAGGAAAACCATAACATAGGTATAATGTTATGCAAATTTCTGGTTTCTTTGGCAATTAGCCAAAATAGGAAAAGCTAATATCTGAATTTCAACTTTTACTTCTTATTTCCTCCTGGCAATTGTCAATGCTTATCTTTATCAAATGAAGAAGAAAGTGAAGGGTATGCTATTCTTGAGTACCATGGGAAAATAAAGTCTAGATATTTGTTAAGGCTATGAAAGAAAAGGATATTATCATCCTCCAAACCAGTGAAATAATGAAAAATTAGATAAATTTATTTTGTATTCTGACATCTATATATTAGGACTGTGTTAAGTCTCATCAAAGAATACAGCTAGCATTTAAAATGTTACTTGTTATTAAGAATTACATTTTATATAATTTAAAGAGAGAATATGGTTTAAAAGAGTTTATCTCTATTGTTAATAATTCTGAGTAAAATATAATACTCTTGGCTATGGTTTAATTAATGATACATTTTCCCCAGAGGTTTATTTTCCTTTTCTCTGACATTTCAAAACGAGACAAAAGAAATTCTAAAAAATCAAAATTATTTTAGAAATATTTAGTCCACAGGCTACTGATTTAAAAAAACTTTCACTTGTTAAAATGACATACATTTTTCTAAACATTGTATTTAGAAACACTTTAAAGTTCTGAACTGCTTAATAATTTTGCTTTTAATTAGAATTTTTTGCTTCTGTGTTACTAAAAAGCTCTCTGCCCTGAAACATTAGAAATAACAATTAAACTTAAAGGAAATTTTCAATTAACAGTTTGGAGGCGAGACATATACCAGAATCCCTATGAAAAGGTAAAAATAATGAATAATTCCAAAGTAATACCTGTAGTCAAAGAAAATTAATCTTCCATTGCTAAGAACCTATGTGTTTAGCTGAAGTTTTGTTTCTTATCCGTCCAGTATTGAAAAATTTATAATAGCAAAGTTATAGGAAATAAACACAATCTAATATTAACACCATTGGGTTCAATTCTATTTTCATATATTTTATTCTTTGACAATACAAATTTTCTCCATATAATGAGCCTTCTTGGTAATTTATTACTTGGCTGTCACAAGCCTGGAGCTAAAAAGTATTTAAAAAACAAAATAAGTGCTATTTAGCATGAAAATATTTGAGAATATATAGCTAAAAAAGAAATATGGCAAGATGGTAAGATTTTTTGACTACAGAGTAAATGTGAAGATAGCTACGAGGCTTAACAGTTTTTAGAATCAACTAGATATAATTTTTCATTCAACAAAGGTTAACTATTATGCACATCTTGACTAAAAAGGCGCTCTTTTAGGTCCCTTTTTAGAAACAATATAGTTTATTCAAATAAATATTAGTTCAATTTTTGAACTATTGTTTAAAAATTTTTAGCTTTTTTTTCTCTTTGTATTAAACTATTTTCTTTTTAGGAACTCTAAAGATATGACATTGGGCAAGCCACTTAGTTTCAATATCCTCATCTGAGGGAAAAGGGGGTTGAACCCCTAGTTATTGTTCACCTTCCATCCAATCTAAATTGATGTGCTTTGAAATTTTTGATGCCCACATACTAATAAAAAACAGCGGTAAAAACAGTGTTTTCTTACGTGTATAATCTTTGTGTCACATATTTAATTGTGCCAACAGAGAAAACCCATTTATTTTCAAAGACTATATTCAAAGACTATATTAAATAGACTATGCTGCAAAATCTCATATTCCATTAGAAAGCAATGTCACATTAATGTACACTCCCCCAAATTAATTTTTATAAAAAGTTAAATCATTAGCAATAACAAGCGACAATATTTCAAAAGTGATTTTCAGATTTTTCATTTCAATCCCAGTTATCTAAATTGCAAAAACAGTCGTTGAGAGGGAAGCCCTACCAAAACCTATGAATGGAGAAGGGAGAAAGGTGTAGTTCAAAGTTTCTCAATTATGGCCCTGTTGACATTTTGGGCCAGATAATTCTTTATTGTAGGGAGTTCTCTGTGCACCACGGGATGTTTGGCAGCAGCACCCCTCTGCTCTATCCACAAGATGCCAGTACCACTGCCTGCTACTCTGAAGTGGTGACAACCAAAACTGTCTCCAGATTTTGCCAAATGTCTCCTAAGGGAAGAGGAGTGGAGGAATCAGCCGTGGTTGAGAGCCACTGGGTTAGGTAGAACCGCTTTATTTTAGTGGTTTGGATCAGTGATACTCAAGAGATCAGGATAGTCACCTGGAGGGCTTTTCCAACCATACATGGCTCCAGAGATTTTAGTATGCAGCTCACACCCCCTCAATTATTTGTAATTACGTATACCTCCATTGCCCCCTCTCATCTCTGTCCAGTGTGGTGCAGTACACCAAAAAAAAGTAGAGCAATTTTTCAAAGCCTAAAATATTCTGGGTTAATCAGATGAAATCTGTGAGAGCCTTTTCCTTAATGACGGCCCCTCCAAGCCAATTTCTGAACTCATGTAATTCCTCTTGAGTTCTGCACATGCACAGCCATTTTATTGGCAACTGTAGCACCAGAACTTCACTGTCTTTCTTTACCTGTTCTGGGAGAAAACTGACAAAAGTTGTGATAATCCCTGCCCTTCTCACTATTATGAGAGAGAGGGGCAAGCAAGGCCACGGCACAGAGCAATTAAAAACACACTCTCCTCTTCCCTTTCTATAAATGCCATCCACACACCGCAAACATGCGGAGTCTCATTCTTTTATAAGCAACAATCCTTCAACTATGATCATAACTGTCTCGTCACTCTGGGTGGTGAGGTGGCCATAAGTCTGAAAAAGTGAGGCTCTTCGGTGAAGACCAGATACATGGAAACATGCTTCTCCTACCTGCCAAAATAGCTCCATGCCTCTGGCCCAAACCTTAATCAAACCCTTGGCTTTCTGCAGCAATGTTACACATAAAATGCTTTCACACACATTACCTTAAATGATCCTAAACAATCTTGTAAGTGGGATGGGGAGGTGTTTTTATTCTCATTTTATGGATGAGGAAACTCTGGCCCAGTGAGGTTATGAGACTAGTCTCAGCCAGTTATTTACTGGGGGAGCCAAGATTTGAATGCAGCTTGCTGACCTCAAAGCCAGTGCTTTTTCCATTAAATTTCACAAAAGTAGTGCTCAGCAGAGCTACAGCTTTAAAGCCATGATGGTAGTCTTTAGATTCCATGCATTTAGGACTCTTTGCAAGGCCTGGATCTTAAAAAAACAAATTCTACTCTGCTGTATTCATGCAGGTCTGACAAATAGCAGTAAGGCAGTCATCCTTCTTAGCAAGCTACCTACAACTGACAAAGCCATATATTTTTCTAATGGAAAACGTCTCCACAGACAAGGAAATAAAGTCACTTAACTTTCCAGGATTCATTAACTAAAGCTGATGTTGCTTCTGATGCTGTTGTTAATGTCCCACAAAATTAATCTAACAATACCTACTAACTCCTTGTTCACAAATCACACACTCTAAATTTGGAGTGTCCTAGAATGATGTCTCTTTTCTTGTTAGTAAAACTGCTGAGAGCCATTCCCTAGCAAGGCTGGCAAGTACAGGTTTGCTATTGGAAGATACTGGAAGGAGAAACTGCCATTAATAAAGCATGAATACTTGTCATTAGCCAGACTGGAACATTGGAAAAGTGACATTTTAGCTTAGAAGGAAGGTCTCTGAAGCTATATGGGTAGGTTTGAGGGTCTTAAAGTTGGCTTCCATTTGAAGGGGCACTCCTCCCAGCAGATTGCTACAAATCTCCTCCCAGCTGATTGCTCCCATTGGCCACCTTTCTGAATGTCAACATTAGGAAATAAGTTTAATATTTACATTTTGTGAAAGCATGACCAAGAAAAGGTAATACTAACCTCATCTATAGCTTTTTTGTAGCTCTGAAATGAGAGGAACCCAATCCAGAAGAATCCACAGAAGGAGGAAAAGCCAGCAGAAAGGCAGCAGATTAGACACAAAATTGTAATTGTTAGTACGCAACTGATAAATACAAAAGGGCGAAGAGAATGTCAATCCAGAATGATGCAAATCCCTTCATTATTACTCTCGGTATACGTCGTTACTTTAAGATGTTAAAAAAGAGTAAACCAAAAAGCTTCACGTTCATTTTACAGAAAAGATTCTCAAGAGATTTAAATAGAAAAAATGGATAGTAATTCATCCCAAATTAATTTTCAACTTTCAAATTTTAGCCTCCATACTCCTCTTTAAGGCTACCTGGGGGTCTATCATGTTACAGCAGTGAAGCTGGATGCTAAGTTGTTACGACGCCTGTTGGACCCTGCTTAAAAAGTTTGGTCCAGAAAATATAGTCCTGGAGGCATGAAAAATAGCAGAAAAACTGTAATATTAATTCATGTGGAAAATAATATGGGGAAAGAGTAGAAGAGATTAGAGAAGTTCATAGAAAGTACCCAAGTCTCTTTAACTGCTACTTTCAACATCTTTTTGCCAAAGTTGCTGAGTAGAAATTATGGAATGATAGGAGTTGTTTCTCTTCCTGTTTTATAGTTAAAGGACTGCTAATGATCAGCAAATAGCCAAAGGCAGAGGAGTCAATCCAAGATCTCTTCGGTTCTTTCCTAATCAGGTATGACTTTCTTCGGGATGTTTCTAGCATCCGTTCTTACTAATCTCAACAATTTTTGTTTGCATCATGAGTGTATCCCCAACTACTTAATCCTGTGGGTTCTCTGGTAAATTAAGAGTTCAAAACTCTTGGAGAGAAAAGCACTCACAGCTGGTCGACTGGGCCGGGTAATGTCCCTGGATTCTTCTGGTTTCACCTTCGCAGGCTCATGGGGGAGCACAGGTGATCCTTCTGACTTACTGTTGGCTAGAGGAAAAAAACAGAGGACCAAGAAAGAGATGGCCATCAAAAAGTGCTGGCTCAAGTTCTGAATGAATTATCTGTGATGTGTCATCACATTGAGATTACTCAGTGGACACGTCATTCACCTGGGCAAATCCTCAAGAAACATCCATGAAAAATATAATGTTCAGGCAAACACATTTAGGCTTGTGACCTGGAAATCACTAGTAACAATTAAAAAAAAAAGAAATGTAGCAAGTACTATCACCACTAGAGCACTTCTTATGTGTCAGGCATAGTGCTAAATGCTTTCCATGTCAATTATCTCATTTAATCCTCACTCCAACCCAATGATATGGCACTATTCTCCTATTTTACAGAACACAGATTTACAAAGATGACACAACTGTCCGGAGGTCACACTGAAATTATAGACAGAGCTGGAGTTCTGATTTCTGAAAGTCCTATTCTCAGTCACTATGCTAAATGAGCCTCTAAGGTTCTATGCTTGTTTTCTTCTTTTATCATTTGTCCAATCAGGATAGGTTATTTTGTTGAAATTTTGTGAGGGAAAAAAAATTTATTTTATTTGGTGGAACGGTTTTTAATTGGAGATGGGAGTGGTCTCAGCCCTTTAAAAATAAAAGAATGAGGTGAGGGCAAGAAGGGGGTTGTTATAGGAGAAGGGCCCTAGGCTGGAGGTACAGAGCAAGGTCAAGGGGACCCTGACAGCTGCAGAGTGAATAGCATCTTTGCAGTCTATGAGCTTACAGATAGAGAAGATGCAATTTAGGGTAGGAGAGGTGGTTTTTATTTCTTAAAAAGTAGTCTTTCTTGGACAGGGACATACCAGGGATACAACAGCCCTTTTAATCCGGAAGAACGAGGGGCTGAAGGAAATAAAAAGTAAGCCTGAACCAGACCAGAGAATTAAAATGGTATGCGTTTAAGTTTGGTTTATTTAAATATTTGCTCTAAGAATATGAAGTTGCCTATAAATAGAAAAAAGATAACAGAATGGCTGTTTTCTTTCTTTAGGTGTTTTAGAGATGGGGCTCTGTCACCTAGGCTGGAGCGCAGTGGGGCCATCATAGCTCACTGCAGCCTTGAACTCCTGAGCTTAAGCAATTCTTCTACCTCGGCCTTCCGGGTACCTAGGACTACAGGCGTAAGCCACTACATCTGGTAGTTTTCTAAATTAAGGAAATTTATATTTCGATCAAGGCAACAAAGACATACAGTAGATACTTCTGAGATGTGCCACTAATCAGAAGAATGCATATAGAGGCAGCTGTTGGCTAGTCCATATCCCAATCCAGAGACGTGAACATCAATCACATGTTAGATATCAAGCTTTTTAAAATGGAAATAGAGTGATTTATTTAAAACCCTGAAAGGGTGTTAGGAGATAAACTAAGGGTATTAGGAGGTGGTATGTAATAAAGAGTCTAAGAAAGAAAAAAGAACTGAAGGTTCTCATGAGGCTTTCATCAGACAGAGAAACTTATAAGTATGTTAATATTTGTCAAATTGCAATTAAAGTACTGGTCTTCATCACTTAGAAGCAAAATTATCTTCTGAAGAAGTTGATTCAGAAGGAGTGAATTTTAACTAGCTAGAAACAATGTATTATTATGTATCAGCACCTGGAAATAATAATGTTTTTCATAGGCCTCCCCATTACTGGAAACTAAACAATGATGAATAATTTGAATTAAATATTTAGAGAGGCTAATTTTTACTTAATAGGAATAACCAGAGGAGTCAACAATTTTTTTTTTTTTTGATGGAGTTTCATTCTTGTTGCCAAGGCTGGAGTACAATGGCGTGATCTTGGCTCACCACAACCTCTGCCTCCTGGGTTCAAGCGATTCTCCTGCCTCAGCCTCCCGAGTAGCTGGGATTACAGGCATGCACCACCACGCCAGGCTAATTTTTTGTATTTTTAGTAGCGATGGGGTTTCTCCATGTTAGTCAGGCTGATCTTGGAACTCCCGACCTTAGGTGATCTGCCTGCCTTGGCCTCCCTAAGTGCTGGGATTACAGGCGTGAGCCACCACACTCGGCCTAAATATGCTTTTTAAGTCAAAGATTTTATTCCTTCCTTCAAGTGTATTCTACATTAGTCTTTACTGAATTTCATTTTGAGAAATACATGGTATTCTGAACTGTGTATATGAACTATGTTCAGAATACTAAACAGGACAATTGGTGCAATGCGTTCAGGACATTTGTGGGTACATGAAACTCTAAAAACCGGCAATCAAACAGAAACAGAAATTCAGGTGACTGGTAAGTGACTGTATTTTCAAATAAGACTGATATTTGGTGATCTCCCTGGAAAACACTGGTATCTGAGATTAGAAAGGATTTTGTCCATACTGATGGCACACACACAATTAGGGACAGTGGCCCACTCCCGAGGAGACTGGGGTTGAGAGCAGTTGACAGGCTCTTCAGGATCACACAGTGGTGGCCATGCCTGGACTAGAGTCAGGAAGTAACTAACCTTTTTCCCTGTCCACAGCTTTCCTCCCAGGCAGTATTGCCAGGTAAAGGTAAGAGAAAGTTTTACCTCGAACTCTGGTGCGTTCACTGGATCCTGCTTGTGATCCAGGCTGGGAGCCTCCTTGGGAGCTGGGCTGGGAGCTAGGGGTGCTGGAGCTGGAGGAACTGCCACTGCTGGTCCTCTGCAAGGGGCTCTCCAAGATGGGCTCAGTTCTCCGGAGATCAGGGTTGCTGTGTGAGTGACAGAGCACACTGGTTACACTCTCCAGACCTTGCCAGTTTTGCAGATCACATATCTGATAAGGTTTAATACCCAAAATATGTAAGGAACTCAAAACAGCTCAATAGCAAGAAAACGAATAACCCAATTAAAAATGGGGAAAGGACCTGAATAGACATTTCTTAAAAGGAGACATGCAGATAGCCAATAGGAATATGAAAAAAATGATCAGCATCACTAATCATCAGGGAAATGCAAATTAAAACCACAATGAGCCAGGCACAGTGGCTGTCACCTATAACCCCAGCACTTTGGAAGGCTCAGGTGGGAGGATCACTTGAGGCCAGGAGTTCAAGACCAGCCTGGGCAACATAGTGAGATCCCATCTCCACAAAAAAATTAGCTGGGCATAGTGGCATGTGCCTGTCCTCCCACTTACATGAGAGGCTGAGGTGGGAGGGTCACTTGACCCCAGGAGGTCAAGGCTTCAGTGAGCCATGATCACGCCACTGCACTCCAGCCTGGGCAACAGAGTGAGACCATGTCTCAAAAAATAAAAACATAAATTTAAAAACCCCACCAAACCACAATGAGATATGACCTCATACCTATTAGAATGGCTGTTTTCAAAAGACAAAAGATAATGAGTGTTGGTGAGGATGCAGAGAAGAGGGAACCCTTGTACCCTGTTGGTGAGAATGTAAAATAGTACAGCCAGTACGGAAAACAGTATGAAGGTTCCGCAAAAGACTAAAAATAGAATTATCATAGGATCCAGAGATTCCACTTCTGGATATATATCCAAAGGAAATGAAATCAGTACATTGAAGAGGTAGCTGTACTCCCATGCTCAGTGCAGCACTATTCACAGTAGCCACAATATGGAATCAACCTAAGTGTGTGTCCACTGAAGAATGAATGGATAAAGAAAATGTGATATATCTCTCTCTCAAAAAGACAAATACTACATGATCTCACTTATAGGTGGAATCTACAAATACCGAACTCATAGAAACAGAGAGTAGAATGATAGTTGCCAGGGGATCTAGGAAGGAGAGAGAATGGGAAGATGTTGGTCAAAGGTTACAGTTTCACTTGGACAGCATGAGTAACTTTTGGAAATCTACTGTACACCATGGTGAGTACAGATCATAACGAGGTATACTTGAAAATTGCGAAGATAGTAGATCTTAAATGTCATCAGAAAAAAATGATAACTATGTGAGGTGATGGATATATTGATTAACTTGATTTTAGTAATCATTTCACAGTGTATACATATATCAAAACATCATGTTATACACTGTAAATAGATATACTTTTTATTTGTCAATCATACCTCAGTAAAGCTAGGGGGGACAAAATCTTGCCATTGGTAGACACAAGCATAGTCCCGTCCCCAGTGCAAGGAAGTAAAAAGAGCACTTACAAGACCTTGAGAGGAAGGGGTCAACAGAAGATGACAGTCATGCCTTCCTCTGTAGAGTTCCTGACCAGCTACTGGATGTGTACAGGATGAACTCTTGTTCATCACATTGAAAATACTAGCTCTGGATGGTGAATCTTCAAAGAAAGCTTTCTTACAAACATTTTTTTCTGTGCTCATTGTAAAAAGTCTTGAAAAATATTAAAAGGGAAAAAATAAGGAAGGAACACACATAATCTCTGCACCAGGAGATACTCAACTATATTTTACTATTGTACATGATCTCACTTATGCGTGGAATCTACAAACATCAAACTCACAGAAACAATAGAATGAGAGTTGCTGGGGTTTTTTTCTTTTGTATCTATCTATAGAAGCATACTGCATATTCAGTTTTTTTTTTCCTTTTTATATATGGAAGCATAGTGTATATTCAGTTTTGCATCTTGCTTTTTTCCCTTAACTGCATTGTGAGCATATTCTTATGCTGTGTAATAGCTTCATTAATTGTCTATTATATAGATGAGTTACTTGACCATTTCTCTGCTGTTAAATATTAAGGTGCTTCCAATACATTGCTGTGACACATAACAGTGAAACAATAATCTCCCTGTACACAAATAGCCAATCACATTTCTATTTCCTGAGATTAGAATTCTTGGGTGAAAAGGCCTAAGTTTGGGGTGTGTGCATGTGTGTGTGCATATGTATGAGTGTATAAAGGTATGACAGATTTTCACTGAAGTAAATGTGATGGTCCATTTCACTCCATACAAGGTTTTATACTAAATTGTATCTCATTATTTAGGTACAGTTTTAAAAAGTGACTACTGAGGTAGAAGAATTTTTATTCATATTTGTTTGCCATTTGTAATTTCTCTTCTGTGAATTGCTTAATTAAATCCTTTGTTCATGTAGCTTGTGGAGTCTTTGTATTTTTTTTTATTATCTTCTTGCAGGAAGTCTTTATATGCTTAGGCTATTACCGACGGGTAGACGATTTTTGGATAATTATTATAAAATGCTAATTCGGCCAGGCACGGTGGCTCACGCCTGTAATCCCATCACTTTGGGAGGCCAAGGCAGGCAGATCACGAGGTCAGGAGATCGAGACCATCCTGGCTAACACAGTGAAACCCCATCTCTACTAAAAATACAAAAAAATTAGCTGGGCGTGGTGGCAGGTGCCTGTATTCTCAGCTAGTTGAGAGGCTGAGGCAGGAGAATGGCGTGAATCCAGGAGGCAGAGCTTGCAGTGAGCGGAGATCGCGCTACTGCACTCTAGCCTGGGAGACAGAGCGAGACTCTGTCTGTCTCGAAAAAAAAAAAAAGCAAATTCAAGACCAAATTTGTTGGTAGGCTACTACTCCCATTAAAAATATATATATATATTACTGTATTTGTCTTCATATATTTATTCCCACCAAAAAAAGCAGTATTCATTCACTCAGTTATTCTATACCAGGCACTGGGTCAAGCATTTGAGATATGATAATGAACGGGACACAGCCTGTGCCCTCTGTGAGCTTAGCTGGATATACACAGCCCATTTCAACATGCTTTGCCTGCGTTGAGCACAGAGCCATATGGAAGCATGAGGCAGGACCACCTAGGCCAATTTTGGCCATCAGGGGAGCTGTACCCAAACAGGAGACATCTAAGCAGTGGTGCTGGGAGGCAGCTGCTGAGGATTTTACGATTTTGTTAAAAAAAAAAAAAAAAAAAGCAGCATTCTCAAGGCTTCTATAAAGCTCTTTCTTTGAAATTTATAACTCATAGGCTTTTTTTTATTTTATTTTTCTGTTAGATTTACACAATGCTGGGCATGGATAATTTAGGGAGACCTGAAACTCAGAGCTCAAATCTATCGCCTTCCAGATGCTGAGAAGAGAAACATCTGATGTCAGCTTCCTCTCTGTTCCTAACATCTTCAGTTCCCCAAACAGACTTTGTTAACAGTTATCATACAGCTATGATTTTAATGCCGTGAGATATTATATTAAAATGTAATTTTATGCTTTAACTTTGCTCTGCCCAGTTTAAGAGTACCAAGTATGTATCAGGCACTCTGTACTGTGTTGGATGTTAGATGTTTCTCCCATAAATTTGGATATGACCCCTTCCTTTGAGATACTTTTAGTTTAGTCTACCAGTAACCCAGTCACAATGGCAACTTTATAAGCAGCAATTAAACCAACTAATTTCTTTCTGAAAACTCAAGAATCTTGCTTTGTGGTAATGTATCTGTCAAAAACATTTGATTGAGTAGAAATAGACCATGACTGTGGAAAAATGCAGTGAAAAACGTATGTACAAATAAATATGTTCTCATGATTCATTAATATGATCATATAAATGTAGACCCTAATCATATTATCTTTGAAACTTTTGTGGTAAAAGGGTTGCTAAGTCAACTTAACAGTAAAATCAGTTGCAGAGTGATCATTGGTAAACTTAAGAAAAACTTCCAATAATGGCATTCCTTTGTGAAGTAACTATTTTTATGACAATTGTTCATATCAAATTGACTAAAATAGATTTGGATCCATACTGGAAATACCCTTCATTTAGAAAATGTCTAAAATGATAAATGTGTAATAGCTCTGAAATAATCTACATTTCAAATTTTTCATTTTTTAAAATAAATAATCTCTTTTAATTCCCAAATAGCGAATTCTTCCACACTGCCCTGTTTTATTAAACAATAGTGGTCAAAAATTATTATGCATAATTAAATAATTCCAAAAAAACTTGCTCTAAAAAATGTACTGCTCACCAACTGTATTACAGATTTAAGAATGATGAGCATGTTAAGGTTTCTTGGAGTTGCTCTCATTTTGTGGAACGGTAATGTAGTATTCTTTGTATTACAAAAAAATAAATAAAAAATCTCTTGAGAGGAGGGTAGCTGGTGATAAATGCTCTGAGTTTTCTTCCCTGGTGGTTGTGGTGTGGTAGCAGGATAGAGCTACTTGTTCTAATGTAGCACTCCTTTGATTATTTAGCCAAAACCTTTGTGTTAAGCACCAACTTTGTGAAACTTACCGGACCAGGATTAGGGATGGAGGAGAAGCACAAGCCACAGGGCATACAGTCAAGTTACAACACAATCATGGAGATGAGACTTATGCAGAGGGGACAATAGGGAGCATGGCAAAACTGTATGTTGTGTATGAAAGAGACTAAGTATTGTTGGAGTTTGGGGAACCATTAGTGCAGACTGGTATGGTTGATGGCAGTGTTATGAAGGAGCAAGAACTTGACTGGGTGTTGTAGCAGGAAGGCTGGGGAACAGTCGGAGCAGACATAGGGCTGGGTTGTTTTTCCTGATGCATGTGGGTGCAGAGATGACACTGGCCAAATCAAGTACCAAATCTGTATTAGGAAACACTGGGAGAGTGGAGTGATCAGAAGAAAAGGGTGAGTTGTATAACCATGGCCTTTAAAGCCTAGAGGAGAATGTGTACCTCCCACAGTACACGTGAACGACTGACCAGGAGAGAGGCAGGCAGACTAGTTAGGAGGCTGCTGCCAAGTCAGATGATGAGGCCTGGGCAGTGATGTCCTGTGTGAAAAAGAGCATGGGCATTAGCAGAAGCAGCTGGGATGAGCCTACATCCTGACTGGGCTCAGAGTCTCATCCTGTGTGAAGCTAATTGGATCCCATGGGCATTAAATCCCTGACCAGGGCCTCATTAGTACAAGTTCTCCTCACCAGAGCTAACCAGTGTGGGTGCTGATCTTAATAGGTTGCTATTTTTGCTGCTGGAGACTGAAAGAAGTATTTAGTCTCTATGTTACCACACATAGAAATAGGGAAAACTTTACAATGCCTTTTCTACCTTTTCTTTTGGTAAAACATGAGTAGTTTGAGAAAATGTCATGCTGTTCACATTTTTCTCTCCTTCATTATGTATTAAATGATCTGGCCTTGGGGCTGTGGGGTCTGAGATGAATGCTCTTAAGAGGATCAATTTCAGAAGAATCCCATGAAATAATAGATATCCCTTGTTCACATCTTAACTGAGCCTATTCAGATCCGAATGTGTAAAAACCTGAAAACATCCAAATGGATTTCTTTAAATGCTAACTTTTAGTTCAGACATTTGCCATCCTGCAGATAATGCTGCTAGGTCTATAAAACTCACAGTAAAGTGAAAATGTGGCAATTATTCCATTCATTTGAATCATAAAAAGTCAAAACAGAAAATTGGGATTACAAAGTAATTTTGTGGCCCAAATACTTGGGCCAAGTCTTTAATTAACTGGCCAACTGCCAAATTTCACTTTACTTTGTTCTTTGATGACACAGCCAATGAGAAGAAATGAGTCATAAGAAAATAGGTTTGGGATGGGACAGAGAATTATTTTTTGAAATTAATCATTTAGTCATTGGGTTTGACTGGGTATTTCTGACTTAATTTGAATCTTATTCAGAATGTAATTGTTTGATCAAATTTTAATTTGCTTTAGAAAGAATACATACATCAATGTTAAGTATGAAAGTACCTGATTTTTAAAAACAGTATTTTAAAATGGTCCAATCAAATTTTGATTTGAACTTAACTGATCACCTTCACAGCATGAGGCATTTAGGAGTTTACATAGCAGGTGAGAATTGCCTATTGATATTGCAGTCTGAGCAATTCCCAGCTACATATGCATGAGAAGGAAGGACAAGGAACAGTTGCATGGGGTCAGGATGACTGTGCTATCTCCCAGACTTTAGCCATCTAGGAAGGGAACTATAAAAAGCATGTGATGACACTAGTTCTAGCTCCAGAAGGGAAGTGTTTGCAATATAAATGGGTCTCATGAGACAACAACTTCGAAAAGGTAGTAAATATCGCAACATAAGGGTAAATAACAATAGGATCAAGAGGAGCTGTTAACAGACTCACTGAAGCACATGGTGAGAAAGGTGGGGACAAAATGGTGCTGTGTCAGTCAAGAAATCAAGGGCTCTTTTGCCTTGGGAAAAAATGAGGCAGCAAAGCAAGCTGCACCCATGCTAAACAAATTAGCACAGAATGGTGCTTAAGAATGTAGACTTTGGTGCAAGGTTATCAGAGCTCAAATCTTGGCTCTACCACTTACTACTTTTGTCACCTTGGACACATGTTAATTTCAATTTCTCCTTCTGTAAAATGGTGGTGATTACAGTCAACACCTCACAGAGTTGTTACACTGCTTAAATTAGTAAATACATATATATGAGACATATGTGTATGTGTGCTCCAGAGATGTTCATTAAATACAGAAATAAATAATAAATTGCCCTGAATCAGGCAAAAGGCAAGGAACTGCAGGCATTGCCCAATAACACTTTTTTGACCAACTGATGCCTGCATAGCTGTACCTGCTCAATAATGTATATAGTTAAAAATATGTTCTCTGGCCGGGCGCGGTGGCTCACACCTGTAATCCCAGCACTTTGGGAGGCCGAGACAGGTGGATCACGAGGTCAGGAGATCGAGATCATCCTGGCTAACAGGGTGAAACCCCGTCTCTACTAAAAATACAAAAAATTAGCTGGGCTTGGTGGTGGGCCCCTGTAGTCCCAGCTACTTGGGAGGCTGATGCAGGAGAATCGCCTGAACCTGGGAGGTGGAGGTTGCAGTGAGCCACGATCGCGCCACTGCACTCCAGCCTGGGTGACAGAGCAAGACTCCGTCTCAAAAAAAAATTAGGATAAGAGGAAGTCAAATTGTCCCTGTTTGCAGATGACATGATTGTATATCTAGAAAGCCCCATCGTCTCAGCCCCAAATCTCCTTAAGCTGATAAGCAACTTCAGCAAAGTCTCAGGATACAAAATCAATGTGCAAAAATCACAAACATTCTTATACACCAATAACAGACAGAGAGACAAATCATGAGTGAACTCCCATTCACAATTGCTTCAAAGAGAATAAAATACCTAGGAATCCAACTTACAAGGGACGTGAAGGACCTCTTCAAGGAGAACTACAAACCACTGCTCAACGAAATAAAAGAGGATACAAAGAAATGGAAGAGCATTTCATGCTCATGGATAGGAAGAATCAATATCGTGAAAATGGCCATACTGCCCAAGGTAATTTATAGATTCAATGCCATCCCCATCAAGCTACCAATGACTTTCTTCACAGAATTGGAAAAAACTACTTTAAAGTTCATATGGAACCAAAAAAGAGCTCACATTGCCAAGTCAATCCTAAGCCAAAAGAACAAAGCTGGAGGCATCATGCTACCTGACTTCAAACTATACTACAAGGCTACAGTAACCAAAACAGCATGGTACTGGTACCAAAACAGAGATATAGACCAATGGAACAGAACAGAGCCCTCAGAAATGATGCCACATATCTATAACTATCTGATCTTTGATAAACCTGACAAAAACAAGCAATGGGGAAAGGATTCCCTATTTAATAAATGGTGCTGGGAAAACTGGCTAGCCATATGTAGAAAGCTGAAACTGGATCCCTTCCTTACACCTTATACAAAAATTAATTCAAGATGGATTAAAGACTTAAATGTTAGACCTAAAACCATAAAAACCCTAGAATAAAACCTAGGCAATACCATTCAGGACATAGGCATGGACAAGGACTTCATGTCTAAAACACCCAAAGCAATGGCAACAAAAGCCAAAATTGACAAATGGGATCTAATTAAACTAAAGAGCTTCTGCACAGCAAAAGAAACTACCATCAGAGTGAACAGCCAACCAGAGTGAACAGAATGGGAGAAAATTTTTGCAATCTACTTATCTGACAAAGGGCTAATATCCAGAATCTACAAAGAACTCAAACAAATTTATAAGAAAAAAACAACCCCATCAACAAGTGGGCAAAGGATATGAACAGACACTTCTCAAAAGAAGATATTTATGCAGCCAAAAGACACATGAAAAAATGCATCATCATCACTGGCCATCAGAGAAATGCAAATCAAAACCACAATGAGATACCATCTCACACCAGTGAATGGCGATCATTAAAAAGTCAGGAAACAACACGTCCTGGAGAGGATGTGGAGAAATAGGAACACTTTTACACTGTTGGTGGGACTGTAAACTAGTTCAACCATTGTGGAAGACAGTGTGGCGATTCCTCAGGGATCTAGAACTAGAAATACCATTTGACCCAGCCATCCCATTACTGGGTATATACCCAAAGGATTATAAATCATGCTGCTATAAAGCAGCACACATGCACACGTATGTTTATTGAGGCACTATTCACAATGACAAAGACTTGGAACCAACCCAAATGTCCAACAATGATAGACTGGATTAAGAAAATGTGGCACATATACACCATGGAATACTATGCAGCCATAAAAAATGATAAGTTCATGTCCTTTGTAGGGACATGTATGAAGCTGGAAACCATCATTCTCAGCAAACTATCGCAAGGACAAAAAAAAACAAACACTGCATGTTCTCACTCATAGGTGGGAATTGAACAATGAGAACACATGGACACAGTAAGGGGAACATCACATACCGGGGCCTGTTGTGGGGTTGGGGGGAGGGAGGAGGGATAGCATTAGGAGATATAGCTAATGTAAATGATGAGTTAATGGGTGCAGCACACCAACATGGCACATGTATACATATGTAACAAACCTGCACGTTGTGCACATGTACCCTAAAACTTAAAGTATATAAAAAAAGTGTTCTCCATAGGGCTCTTTTGGATTTGGTATGGTGCATACAGACAGTGGAAGAGTGACATAATAGGGAGTTATTTGGGGGAGAAGGAAGGATATTCAAAATAGTAAAAGCTTTACTTTTGTCCTCAAGTTACAGGTATACCGTTGCATACTGATCATTTTAATTCAAGAGTCTTCTCTTCAGGGTACTAAATAGTTTACTGATTTAAACATATGTGTCCCAAATGATCAAAAAACATCAAACATTCTGCAGTTACTAGAAAACATCTTGCACTTAGTAACTGGAGTTCATTACTACTAAGTGCAGGAAGCAAAAACTGACCGTTTTTGCTTAACCGTTAGGCTCTGCCTTGTTTTTCTTTTTTCTTTCTTTTTTTTTTTTTTTGAGATGGAGTCTTGCTCTGTTGCCCAGGCTGGAGTGCAGGGGTGTGATCTCGGCTCACTGCAAGCTCCGCTTCCCGGATTCGCGCCATTCTCCTGCCTCAGCCTCCCAAGTAGCTGGGACTACAGGCGCCTGCCACCATGCTCGACTAATTTTTGTATTTTTAGTAGAGACGGGGTTTCACCGTGTTAGCCAGGATGGTCTCGATCTCCTGACCTCGTGATCCACCTGTCTCGGCCTCCCAAAGTGCTGGGATTACAGGTGTGAGCCACCGCGCCCGGCCTCTTTTTTTAAAAAATTGATTTAGCACAACAGTGGTTTATTTCTCACTCACATCATAATATACAGAGGTAGAACTGGTCTCCTTGATGGTTCTCTAAGTGGTGACTTGGGGGTCCAGGTTCCTTCTGGGTTGAGACACTGTTGTCTTAAAATTGTGGTCCCTAAGTTTGCCACAGAAGAAGAGAGAGGTTCTGCCTCTTTTAGTTAATTCAAAGCAAAATAAGAAAGTGAGGCAAGAAATATAATTTTGCCCCTACTAGTACCCGTAGTCCCAGAGAGCAGCAGGTATATTACGACCCCTGCGCCCTGGAGTCAGGCGGTTTTGGTTTGAGTCACTGGGTCCCAGGGCCACATGCAGCTTCAGTATATATTTGCTGAACTTAGCAAATGAATTAAAAACTGATAGTAACAAAACATCCTGAATCTGTCCCTTATTAGCTGTGTACTTTTTACTGCATCCATTTTAACTTTGCTAATTTTCTAGTCACCCTTGGGAATCACTTCAAAGAAAAGACTAGGAGGAAAAACAGAATATTGACCAAGTACAGGAAAGCTTGGAAGCACTGTAAAGGACAGGTTATTTAAAAGCAACACCTTTTAAAGTGGCTTTATGGATGGATGGTTGTCTGATAAATGGCACAAAAAGAACTATACGGACTTCATTAGGACCAACAGAGAGTAGGAGAGGTCTGTGTCACAGTAATGGCCCCTGGCAAATCACATCTCCCAGTGTCCATGCCCCTGTGTAGTTCCTTCCCATACTGACTCAGGGCTTAGCCAAGTGACTTGTGATGGCTAATGGGTTATCAGCAAAGATGATGCAAGCAAAGGCTTCAAAAGTACTAGTGCATTGGAGCTTTCTCTCTTGAGATGCTCTTCTGAGATCACCAAAGGGTAAAGAAGCCCAGAATGGAAGACCACGTGGAGCAAGAGGTACAGCAGAACCATCTGCTCAGTGCAACTGCACGAGTGAGCCCAGGCGAGAGCAGCTGAACTCCTTAGCCAACCCACAGCATCATGAGAAATATTAAACTGTTATTCTTTTAGGTCACTAAACTTATGGTGATTATATTGTGCAGCAAAGGTGAACTAAAGCTGTGGCTCTCACTGTAAATAAAACAAATCTTGAAGCTTTTAAAAATGCAATCCAATCTAGAACCGCAAATCTGATTTACACCTTAAATGCTGGCCACATGGAGATACATGATAGCATAAAAAGGGGTGTTCTGTAGGACTGTCCTACATGCAGAGAAGAGGCTTCTTCACCCCCCACCCCCAATCTCTGTCTTTCATTATAGGAAGGAACTATGACCTCTTAACTCACTTCCTCCCTTCCTCTCTAAATAGAAAAATGTTAGCTGTCTCTCACAAAGTCAGCATTCTTTGGATAAAGTATAATATCCAAGTGGTTCCAAGAGAAAAGGCTCATTATTTTGTAAACCACTGACCATCAAATACCAATTATCTTAGGCCTTAATGTCACTAAAATAGCACTTCAGAGGGAATGGAAATGGCTTTTTATTTGACTATATGATGGTAATTCTCTTTTTGGTTGACAGAAGGAAAAATACTTAAAGTTGAAATAATACTTGATCTAAAGAAACTAAAATTCTAAGCAACCGATCCAATGAACAGAGCCCCCGGGGGCAGGGTTCAAAGGAAGCAGGAGCACTGATAATTGGGGATTTATCACTGCTTGAAGAGGGGCACTGATAAAGTTCAGGCTGGCGATCCAGCACTAACGTTCCCTTGGCTGCCTGGTCACAGTGGCTCTAGTCTTCCTCAGTGCTGCTTAGCTGCTTAGCAATACCAGCTCAGTGTGAATCAGACAAGTCACTGGAAAAAAAATGGCTCATTCAGAGCCTCTTGCAATTGGTAATTCCACACAGAATGGGCTAGCATCTTTGCCCTAAAGGAATTCATGTTCTTAGTATAGTTTCATGTTATTGCTGGGCTGACCCCTTCCCTAAGGCTTTTCATGTGAAGAGGAAAATTAAAACTTTATGATTTAAAGCATTCCATATTTTAAAGATATGTGCATGTAATCATAAGCTTCATTTCCAGTCATTCTCTCTTACTAGCAAAGGAGGGTCCTTTTATTATGAACACAATGAAGAAGAAAACAGCCTGCCCAATCACATCCTTTTTATAGCCTTAGCAGAGGCCATTTGCTATTTCAGTTGATCCTAAAAAGTGATGTATTCATCATGAAAAATCTGAGGGAAGCTTGATGAACTATAACAGCAAACAGCATCTGTTACCACAAAAAATTTGCTCAGACACTAAAGATACTGTTTACTTTCCAGCTTCTTGAGACCTCTACACCAACCAGTGGAAGTGGATGCAACTTTCTGACTGTAGGAATGTACATTATTGATAGGAAATTCTGGAAGGAGGACACAGAGCAAGAGTGGAAGCATAACTGTATTTCAGTGACCTTTGTAATGCCAAAGAGGCAACTTCCTCGTAAGAGCTAGTTCTTCTATAACTGCCAAGCTAGAGAAGCTCTGAAGATGGTCACTATTTCCATGGTAATTGCTTTGTAATGTCTCAATGGTTCCCAGGGCATGTTTCTTGACCTGATGCTAAAAATCACCTCGAAATGGGCCATAACAGGTCATTTTGTTCTGCTGACTCTAAACTGATCTCTGAAGTAATGCTTTAGGGCATTGCAACCAGATCCATATTTGCAAATTTTACTCTCAGATTTTAAAAACTGTCCGCTAAGGTACATCTGATTGGTTTCTGGGTTGCCCCATTAATTAATTTATTCATGAGCCCCCCACTGAATACTGATTTCTCTGAAAAGCTACTGAAGAAATAAAAGGCATGTGTTCTGGACCATCAACGTTTATAGTGCACATGGAAAGTCAACCTGCCTCTGAAGAGAAAAAAGAACACAGGCATTTCTAGGAAAGCAATAATGACAATGGTGGGTAGGAGTTTCTTCTTTTACCATAACCACCTTCCTTTCTTACCTTGCTCTGATGGGTTGAGATCCTAGTCTGGGTCCCAGAGCACTACCATTCCCAGGAGAATTCTTTCTGGCTAATGCTGGGGATATAGAAGTTGTTCTTTGAGGCACCTGGAAGAAACCAGAATTCAGAAATATTTTCCATAAAGTAGCTTCCATAGCCTGTTGTCAGAAAATCCTCCTTTCCAATGATTTGCCAGAAGCCACAGAAACTATCCGAAACAGTAAAGAACTATCTTTCATTCATTCCTCGAAGAAATATTAAACTCCCTAAACAAAATCAAACAAAGGTCTACTGGCAAAAAACAATGAGCAAATTTGGGAACCATTAAAGAGGGTCATCCTCAATCTTAAAAACAAATTTAAAGATAGGTAAAGCTAATAATTTTGATACACTGAGCTAAAAATAATTGACCTCTCTTGGTTGGGCAAAAGTGGTAAATACCAGGAATTTCTTTAGGGTATCATTAACTCATTGGAAGTTGCATCAGCTGAGAGCCACCCAGATGAAGCAAGTTCCACTTTTAGCTTACATCACAATAAACAGATAAGGAAATCATGAAATCTGGTGAGAAACTAGAATATCAGGATAGAGCTTAAGACATAAGTCATATGTTGGTGAGCTCAGAGAACCTACCACAGTAGATCTTGAATGTTTCTACTTTCTAATTGATTTGCAATTACCTACTAAAACCAAAAACCAAAAGCACTGTGTCTTGGTCAATTAGTGAACATAATAGAACATAATACAAAGCAGAATTAATACTGAAAATACTGGAAGGATCTTCAAAAAGGCTGTGTAAGTACCAATAAGACTTGAGGAAAATGTATTATTAGCTTATCTGGCAGAAACCTAAGGTAGAATTGAAGTATGTCCCAATTTATAAAACAGACATTTTAAAATGAAATTAAATATTTTAAGTGTACCAAAGGAGTCCGTTATTTAAAAGAATCATATTATGAATCCTAGTATAGAAAATTACTTTCAGTGTAAAGTGTCATCCTTTGTTTTGAAAATTTAATTTTTATTATTCATTTTAACATAAAGATGAGTCAGTAAAGTAAAGCAGAATGACCAAATCAATGCTACTACCTGTTCAAATTAATTATTACTATTTTTTCTTTTCCTTACCATAAATGTACATAGTTGTAGAGACAGAAGAGCCTAACGAATTCTTAAAACCTAAGTTTTTGAATTCATCTAAAATTTTCTCCCAGGTTCATGCATGTATGCCTGCGTATTTTTAGAGAGTGGACCAATAAATTCAGTTTTCAGCTTTTCCATCTATTGTGTCTGCTCCTTTGCCCACTTTATTTTTCATATTGACTTTTGCTCCCTATGTACCCTTTTTTTTCTGATGGCATTTCTGCTTCCACAAAGAATCTCAAAAAATTATCAGCTTTTTTTATTTTCAAAATAATGGGACTCTTGTTATAATATCCTTTTAAGAGGAAGATGAGGAAATGTATTTGTAATTGAGTAAAAGCTTCTTTTTCTTCTGGAATTAACAGTGGCATTTTCTGCAAATTGTGGAACATTCCATTTGTCACAGCCTCTATGCTAATCTCAGGAAAAGGGGGATTCCTGAGCCAGGAAGAATCCGATGCAAAAAATGTCTCTAGTATTTTGAAATACTTCCAGGTTGTTTGTAGCTAGATGCACACAGCCACATTCTAGAACATTTCTTGGAATGAGTAATGACTTGGTATAGGAAAACAAAAGAACCCAAACTCAGGGCTGTTCTGTCCAGTGGAATGGCTGGTCATTTTACCCTAAGGTTTTTCCTCAGTAGTTAATTAAAGATGGAAATAAATTATGACTTGGCCTAGAAAGAGCTTTCCTTAAAATGGGGCCAACTAAAATATCCTAAGAACAATACTATCTTCTGAACCCCTGAAATCTGGCTTCACTTTTGTGTTGTTAAAAATAGGAATACATGGATTTTCTACTTTTTATCTGGAAGTTTTCAATTGTCTTGATGTAGATTCAGTCATCAATGAAATATCCATTACTTTATTTGTTAATATGGATAGCAAAATGACAGTTTGGAATACTTGGTGTTGAGAGTTCTAACTTTGGACGTAGGATCTGTGCTTCAATCTACCTGACTTCAGTTTTCTTGCGGGGGAAATAAAGGTCAGACATGGTAAATGGCAATCCAAGTCTTAGCCAGGGAATGAAGAGGGACCAAAACAAACATGAGAAGGGGAAGTGCTTTGGCATGATCACATTCTCCACTACTACGAAAGGTCTGGAATAGTGGTAATAAAAATCATCAGTGATGCTGGTGATTAAAAAAAACACCCCAGTAAATATTACCTTTGGTGGAATGTCTTCTTCCTGTCGTAACCAAGAGCTTCGGTCAAACTTTTCAATGCGAGTGGGGAGAGGAGGATTTTCCGAGGTGGGATCTGAGTTCTGGCGTGGCATCTCCACGCGGTGGGAGGTCACGTTCAGAGCCTCCTGAAACCCAGAGAGGCCCTTTGTGGGCTGCTCGTGCACTGACTGGGAGGCGGTCAAGGCAGGTCCCTGGGATTTTACAGCTACCAGATGTGGGATCTAAGCATCAAAACAACATGAAAACAGCACTATTAGAAGAAAAAAGAGATCAGCCAGTACCTCAGTGAGCTGAAGGAAAAAAAAAAAAAAGTTCAAGGGCACAAAAATTGGACTATAGAGAGTCTATCACAACTATATATAGCATGTTTTTTAACAGCTCTTCAAAATTTTCCATTGGAACGATATGTAGGGTTGGCACAAAGTTAAATGATTTACTTGGGAACGCTAAGTCAGTGGAATGTGTGAAATAATAACAATAACTACTGTATATTTAGTGAATATTTATTGACCAGCAATGCAATGTATTTTATAAGCACTTCTCTGCTAATATTATGAAATTCCTCCTTTAAAACCCCTAACTTTTACATTAGAGGGTGTTGCTCTGTAAAACAAAAACTGCTCTAAATATCTTACTTGTTATGAACTCACTGAGTCCATCCTGAGGTGGATACAGTCATTTCCCTCATTTTACACCGGAGCAATGTAAGGTGTAGAGAGGTTTAGCAATACCCTAGATTGCACAGATAACACCTGCTGGAGCATGGACTGGACCAGGCATTCTACACCCATAGCTCATAAACCTAACCTCTATGATATTCTACTTTCTCCTGTGCTGGCTCTTACCATCTATGCTGTCGTATTATCTCTTGACACCAGGATGTAACTTTTTGAGTTAAGTATCTCAACTAGGCCAACTGGGCATGTGGTGATACTGTTCACGCAGGGAAGACAGGCAGTCTTTCAGCGAAGTTGTGGCTCTTAAAGACAAATCATTAAAATCCAGAGTGCAGGGCACCACTTTGCCATAGCACTGCTCACACCTCATAGTTAGTGCTTATCTAAGCGTGTCTCCTATTACTTCACGAAGGTGAGCTCCCTAGAGAGAGGCACTATGTCTGTCATGCTCATCGTCATATCCCCTAGGCTAGCTCTGTGCCTGGCATGGGGAAGGTGTCCCATAAATCCTGGTTGGGGAAAAAATCTACAGTGCCTTCTAAATTACACTGTTAATTCAACAAACATTAGTTTAATATCTGTTTTGTGCAAGGACCTGTCAAATCCTCTTTGGTTTTAAATTTAAGTGCTGGAATGTTATTAATGACAGTTCAGAGGAAATCTTCAAAGCCCAGTTTAGCTGAATGTTAAGCTTCAACCAGAATAGAACCTACTGGATTTATATTAATGTTAAATATCATTAAATAAATAATAATATTAAAACAAAGCCCATTTAAAAAAATATCTAGTATAAAACACAAACCCACTTTAAAAGAGCCAAAAAATAAAAAAATAAAAAAAACCACACCACACAACCCCCAAACTGAAGCACCTGAAGAAAGCTTAAGTGAATTAACTGTCACAAAATATCTACATTTTCACTCTGGTTGTTCTCATCAAGTACATTTTCCCTCTCTTCTCCCCTTTTAAAGGCCAAAGTACCTTCCAAGGTCAACGTTAGGGGTTTTAAAAGAGGATATTTGTACATTAAAATAGAAATTCCTGTAAAAAAATGTATCTTTTTGAGGGTTAGGCATGAAAGAATTATATACAAATTAAAAACAGCCAAGAGGAAGATATGCCAAGCTGCCTGGTGCTGAAAAATCTTGGACTTTATTTACTAAAGGCAAACTGAAAACACAAAGAATACTTGATTTTATCACTACTCTTTTAAACTCCAGTTCAAACAGCATTACATATTTCAAAGGTGACCTTAAAATATTTCGTGGAAGTCTTAACACAGGTGGATGCCTGGAAGAAATTTAAGACATTTGGCAGAAGAAACTACATTATTTTTCATGGAATTCCTTAATCTATTTCACTTCATATTTCATTTTTGGCATATATAACTTAAAAGTCCTGCAGAACTTCCAGAAACCCCCTCCTTTCCTAAAAGTGGAGTAATCTTTTTTCTTTACCCTATAGCTTTTAATAGTTGTTCTCAAACTCTAAAGTACATTAGAATCACTTAGAGGTCTTGTTAAATCACAGACTGCCAGGCCTCCCCCACCCCCAGAGTTGCTGATCAGTTGGTCTGAAGTGGGCCCAATAATCTGCATTTCTATCAAGTTCCTGGGTGATGGTTGATGCTGCTGGTCCAGTGATTTACACTTTGAGAACCACTGGCTTAGAAGACGTAATTTTACTTAACCAAGTCTATTTAATTTTTTCAGTTTCAGGCTCATGCCAAAGTCCCAAGAAAACAAAAAATATATAATGCACACACATACACACACCTCAAAGTTTCTATGAATTCTAGTTTTGGCAATTGCAACTAAAAGAATGCTTGTTCTCACCTTGCAGGAACTCCTATGGGTCCCCAGAGAGGCCAATTTAAATAGAAGTGAGTTTGTGGTTGACTCAAGTTTAAGGGTGATGCTTTTTTCTTTCTCACCTGTTCTTCTACTCTTAAAAATCAGTGGGGCCACCTATTTTACTATAAATTCTATATTAAGGGTCATAATTTGATCCTGTGCCTGAATCCATGTTACAATTCCCTAGGCTTTTAATAATAGGTTTTCTTGTGCAACTTATTGGAATGCCTGATGGAATGGAGGCAGACTGTACCTGGGGATCGACTGGTCTGAGCATGGGGGGTGTTCGAGCAGGCTGAACTCCACTAATGCTGAAGGACTCCGACCTTGGGGGCAGGTTGGGGTCAGATATCCTGTTGGCAACCTTGTGAGGCATGGCAGGGGAACTTTGCCGGTTGAGCCTTGACCGTTCTTCTACCTACAACCCAAAAAAAAAAAAAAAAAAAAGACAGCCTCAATGTATAGAAGTAGATCACCTTCTAGCAAGGATTTTCTGTAGTCACCTGCACAGCCATTTGAATCCTCTGATCAACTGATTTTAAGAAGACAAAACTCTGTGCTGCATCAAGAGTTTGCAAAGAGCAAACACTAGCAACAGCAACAACAAAATAGAACACCCAAGCCATCACTCTTCCATTACCCATTATCTAGTGTTATTCGGTTAGCAGGGAATTCGTGACCTGCTAAGAGTTTATCTTGTATTGATTGTGATATTATCTTACTGATTGGTCGCAATGCCATGGGGTCAGTGAGGAAGACAGTTTGCACTCTAGACAATCAAAGGGAATGGTAGCATGCATTTAGATGGCTTGGGGAACATAGAAAATTGCTTTGGGTTGACTCATGGAACATGAGAGGAAGAACAAGAGGATGAAGCTGAGTGCATGCACCCTGCATTTCTTCACGTGTCCTACTGATAGACAAGTGGGTGTTCCAGGCTGCCTGCTTAATGCGCGTGGCGTGTTTCAAATAGGCTTCCTGTATCACTTTCTTTTTCTCTCTTTAGGGGTCTTTCTTTCCAGTTGTCTTTCCTGCTTCCTCAAATACACTGCCCCATCTCATTCTTTCATGTCCAGCTTGGACTCCACTGTCTTGCTCTCCCCTTTCTTCCTCCCTGTTTCTACACATGTGGTGTTCATTCTTGCTTCTCCTCCTTTCTCTTCCCCTCTAACCCTGTCTTCTCTCAGGCTGTTTCATTTCCTTGTCATTCCCTTTCTTCCAGGGTCTCTTTCAGCCCAAAGCAGATAACAGATCCCAAGGGCTTCACGGGAAATGCTGAGCCAGTGAATGCCCTTTCTAAACAGGTCATCATTACCTTTAGTACATATTTACAGCAGAAAGACTGCCTCGGAGGGC